>NT_187385.1:0-88661 GCF_000001405.40 Homo sapiens
GCCGCTTTTTGCTGCCGCAGCTTTTTACCCCCGCCGCCGCTGCTCTGAGGGCGGGAGCGGCAGACTCGGCCGCCAGCTCCACTGGCGTCCTGGCAAGGGCAGCGCCGAGGGGCGCTCCTGGTCCAGCTCTCCCGCCTCGGGAGTGTATGAATGCTTTGTGTTCTGACAAAGAGAATGTAGCACCCGTGTCCTACCTGCTTGGTTGCATTGCCGGTGCCCTCGGTAGTCCATTTAATCCAGGTTTTTAGGTTTTGTTGTGTTTCGTTTTGTTTCTAACTCCGTAACTGGTAGAATTGGAAGACTTTAATAGTGCTTAACGTTTTGTACATAGCTTTATAAGTTTTCTTTTTCTTTTTTTCTGATTCTTTTCAATATACCCCATCATGGTTGAACTCAAAGTCATTGCTTATTTAAAATCTATAACTGCTGACGTTTTGTAAGCTTCACATTCCAGATAATTGGTTTTTTGTGTGTTTTCTGTATTTTTCTCCATCAGTCTACCTACATATTTGTTAGATTTAATATTTTAATATATTACTAGCAGCTACTCCCCATTTCCCCATTTTCCCAGTCCCTGGCAACCACTAGTCTATTCTCTGTCTCTATGGACTAGCATATGCCAAATATCAAAAAAAAACGAGAATCATATGTGACCTTTTGTGTTTGGCTTCATTTATTTAGCATGTCCTGATTCATCCATGTTGTATCTTGTGTCAGCACTTCATTGCTTTATATGCCTGAATCCCATTGCAAGAGTATACTATGTTTTGTTTATCTATTCATTAGTTGATGGATATTTGAGTTGTGTTCATTTTTTGACTACGATTAATAATGCACTGTGATGAGATTCATGTACTCGTTTTTGTGTGGAGGTATTTTTACAATTTTCTTTATATATCTGGTAGTGGGCATATGGTAAATCTATGTTTAAATTTTTGAAAAACTTCAAAACTGTTTTCCAAAGTCTCTGTACCATTTTATATTATTACCAGCAGTGTATGGAGGTTCCATTTTTTCCTACCTCCTTGCCAACATCTGTTATTTTCCTTTTAAAAAAAAATATAGCCATCCTTGTAGATGTGAAGTGGTATCTAGTTTTCATTTGCATATCCTTAATGACTAATGATGTTGAGAGTCTTTTCATGTGCTGATTGGCCATTTGTATATCTTTTTAGAGAAATGTTCATTTAGATTGTTTGCTCATTTAATCGGGTTGTCTTTTTGTTATTCTAAGAATTCTTTATATATTCTGGACATTAGTTCCTCATCAGATGTATGACTTAGTAGATATTTTCTCGCATTCTGTGGGTTCTTTTCACTTTCCTGTTGGTATCCTCTGAAGTACAAAAGTTTTGAATTTTGTTAAAGTCCAGTTTGTTTTTCCTTTTGTCACTCTTGCATTTAGTGTTGTATCTAAGACCCATTGCCTAATTCACGGTAACAGATTTATACCTATGTTTTCTTCTACAAATTTTATAGTTTTACCCCTTATATTTGGGTCTTTGATCCTGATAGTGTTTTTTTTTTTTTTTTTTTTTTTTGGTGAACAGAATTTGTTTGGGTTTTATATGAAAACCCACTGGGGCTATTAAGGTAGTTTTACTATATTATCTTTAGAAGTTTTATGGTTTTGCTTCTCATCTTATTCTTAATCCACTGGAAACTACATGTTGTATAGTCAGTGTTCATTTATATTTACTCACATTATTTGTCTTCTTACGTACTCACCATTTCTTCTCGCAACTCATGTCTTCCATCTAGGGGAACACCCTTCTACTGAAAAACATCTCTTAGAATTTCCTTTAGTGAAGGTCTCTTAGTTAGCAAATTTAGTATTTGTTTGGTTTTTATGACTTAAATATTGTCTTATATTTGGCCTGTTTATTACAAGATATATTAATTTCATATGTGATTATTTTTTCTTAGTACATTGTCTTCTTGCTTCCATTTTAAGACATTAGCTCTTGGTCTAAATCCATATTCTTTCATGGATAATGTGAATTTTTTCTCTGGTTGTTTTCAATGTATTCTTTTCTTCAGGGTTCCGTTATTTTTATGATGATACATTTAGGTATTTTTTTTCCTTTTAAATCTGTCCAACTTGAGCTTCCTGAATATGAAGGGTGGAATTTTTCATCACTTTGGGAAAATTCCAAGCCATTATCTTTTTTACAAAACCTTTCTAAGAGTTTATTGTTCTACTTCTGAAATCCTGTTAGTTGTAATGTCTTATCACTCTTGTCTTCCATGTCTCTTGTTTCTTTCTTATTTTTTACTTCTTTGGGCTTCCTTCTGAGCAATTTCTTCAGCCTATCTTCCAGTTTACATTTTCCTTTTCAATTATATGTAATCTGCTGTCAAATCTGTCTTCAATTTCAACAATTATGTTTTTATTTCTGGAATTTCTGTTTGGCTCCTTCTCAAATCTTCTTGGTCATTTTTTAAAAAAATTTTTTTTTCTTTCATTGAGTTGTATTAAATTTTCATTATATGCCCAACAATTCTAATTAAGTCTTTATTGGTTTGATTTTGCTGAGTCTCTTTTCTTTTGTCTTTATTTTCTTTACTTGTACAATGTTAATAATCTAGTAATAACACCAACTAAATCACATGATTGTTTTATGAATTGAGATAATGAATATATGGCATAATATCTGGTACATAGTAAATGTACATGCAATCCATTATAATAATTAGAAATAATGAAATATAATGTATGATTATTAGGAAATGTACCAGAGCCACAAATTTTATTGAGCGATATAAAAGACAACTAGAGAAAACAAAGAAATATGCCATAGCTGGATGGAAACAGTAATAATAATGTTGCGTGTTCATCTTAGACTAAATCATGTCTCATACAATTTCAATAAAATTCCAATTAAATTTATTTCTAAATCATGGCAAATACATTGTAAATTTTATGTAAAAGAACAAACAGGGCCAGGCTCAGTGGCTCAACCTGTAATCCCAGCACTTTGGGAGGCTGAGGCAGGCATATCATGAGATCAGGAGATCGAGACCATCCTGGCTAACACGGTGAAACCCCATCTCTACTATAATACAAAAAATTAGCCGGGCGTGGTTGAAGGTGCCTTTAGTCCCAGCTACTCAGAAGTCTGAGGCAGGAGAATGGCCTGTACCCAGGAGGAGGAGCTTGTGGTGAGTGGAGATCATGCCACTGCACTCCAGCTTGGGCGACAGAGCGAGATTCCATCTCAAAAATAAAATATAAAAAGAAAAAGAATTTCTGTCTTGTTTCCTCATTAATGTTGGTTGAAAGCATGTTTGCACTTGTCTTTGAGTTGTGTTTTATTAACATCGTTTGGCATATTAAAAGTCCCTCTGAGCTTACCTTGTATAAAAAAATGTAAGAAGGACTATGAGGCAGAGGGGCTGGTGTGAGCACATGCTGGGCAGGAGGAAAGAGGTAATGATCAGGACCAGAGAAATCCCCAAACCCATCAAGTCAGGGAGCCAAATGAAAGCCTTTCATCCTGTATCGGCCACCTAACCCCATCGACACTCCAAGTGAACATTCTCTCTTAGAGATACTCATTGTCTTGTTTTTTCTGTAACCTTGCAAAGGAATCTGATTTCTTCCATTGGCCTTTCACAGAACAAAGATTTCACATTAGAATGCTATTCTTTAGAAGGCATCTTCTTAGGTTAGGCTGCAAGGAGATTGAGGAAGTTACTGTCAGTCACTTATACTCCACAGGGATATTAATTTACCAGAGCTTTGGTGGAGTAGAGGAGCTCATTACAAGCAGGTCTGGATGCTGCACAGAGTGTAAAGGGGGCAGAAGGATCCAGGACACCTAGGCCTGGAGATAGCGCCAATACTGGGAGGTACCGTTATTTTCCCCATTTTACAGAGGAGGAAACAGACACTGGCAGGTAATGTGATCAAGACCATGCTGCCCCGCAGTACAGGAGCCAGGATCTAAACCCAGGCAGCCTCCATTGCCATCAGTGCTCTCACCCATAACCTCGTGGTGCCCTTAAGCAGGATTGCCCTGTGGCCACGGGCACAGCTTCTGGGTTCACATTCCAGCTTCTCTACAGTTTCCAGCTGTGTGACCTTGGGCAAGTTACTTGTCTGTGCTCAGCGTCCTCTGCACAGTGGGTATAGCAATACCAGCCTCATGGAGTCCCTTAAGTGAGTTAATCACTGTAACATGCTTAGAATGGTGCCATGTGCATCGTCACCATCCAGTACATATGGGCCATCATGCCTGAATCCTGGATGGATTAAAAGTCCCTCTGAGCTTACCTTCTCTAAAAAAATGTAAGAAAAAGGATCTGTGGGAAGCACTATGATGCAGAGGGGCTGGTGTGAGCATATGCTGGGCAGGAGGAAAGAGGTAATGACCAGGACCATTGAAGGGTCTAAAATGACCAGGATCCTTGAAGGGTCTAAAATCTAGGATCCTGAAATGCTGGGCAGTGAGATCCTGAAATCCTCCGGCAGCATTTTAACATATTTTGGCTGCAAAATTTTACCCTGCTTCCCGGGGCTAGAAGGTGTGGGATCAGCTGCTTCCTCAGTTCAGCCCCAAAGTAGGCAAAGAAGGTTTTGTCACAGGCTTGTCTAAGGCCCAGCCCCTGTAACCTCCCCTTCTCCCTCCTTTGCATGCTCCCTCACCCATATTCACACATGCACTCCAGGCCTTCTGGGCCCCAAGGGAAGGAGAGAGGGTGGGGAGTGGGTTCATTGGTCTACCGAAGCATGCTGCCTTCAGCCCTGCTGAATTGCTGGGTCCAGGGAATAGGCCTGCAGCTGAAGGGGTCTTGCCCTTCCTTTAACTTTAAACTTTGATTTGCAGTGATCCAAGAGCTTCATCTCTTCCTGTGAGCCTGTCTGGATGTTTATGCTGGATGGCACGGGTTCCTTCTGGCAGGGGTGCACAGGCCAGGGCATGGCTGGCAGCCATGGCATATGAGGAGACCTTGGCAGATGAGAAGACCTTCTGCTTCAGCTTCAATGTATGGGTCTTCTGACTCTCAGTACATTCCTCCTGAGCCATGATGGGCCCCAGTTCAATGAAACCTTCTGCGGCAGCATCATGGTGTCCAGGGGTATAATCTGGAGCATGTGCCAGTGCTACCCCAAGGTATGTGGTTGTGGGGCTGAGTGGAGCCCGAAGGGCAGGATCTTGTACCTCTCTTCCATGTATCAGCCCCATCCTTCAATCATCTTTTTATTTTCATTTTGAATCCCTGTTTTATTCTGTCTTCTGAGCACCTATCCATTCATTTATCCATTCATCCATCTATTCATCCATCCATTCATCCCAGCATCAATCTATCAATCCATGCATCCATCCATTTATTTGTCTAACCACCCACCCATCTATCTGTCTATCATTTA
This sequence comes from Homo sapiens, assembly GCF_000001405.40. Classification (NCBI taxonomy): domain Eukaryota; kingdom Metazoa; phylum Chordata; class Mammalia; order Primates; family Hominidae; genus Homo; species Homo sapiens. The sequence goes on from NT_187385.1 coordinate 5,375, forward strand.
GCATAAGGATTGATCAGAAGCCTCCTGGTTCTGGAGCCATAGACCAGACACCATGGGGAGACATGATGAAAAACAACATATGATTTGTGTGCTTGAAACAAAAGCTAATGAGTGCTTACCACCTGCCTGGTAGTCCTGCATTCAGGGTGCAGTTCTCCCCTCATCCTGAGCTTTTTGGTACCTTCTATAGTTTCATTTTGTAGTAGAGAACGCTGAGCCTCATAAAGTGGGGTCACACAGCTGCGTAGTGGAGTTTGGATTGGAGTTCAGATGTGTGTGACTTAGGCATCACCCTCTGCCTTGAGTCCTCCACTCTAGGGTCCCAGAACTGCTGAACATTCTGGGGTTGGTCAGCTCTAACCTTGGTGGCATGCATTGAGCAACTCTCCATATTTTGGTGTCTTAATATATTCCTGGCCTTAGTGATGGCAAGCACCATTCTTTGGGAGACCTGGGTTCTAGTTCCAGTCCTGTCCCAAACTTTCTGTGTGATCTTTGTCTTTCTGAGTCCAGTATTTGCATCTGCGTAATAGGACACAAGCACCAACTTTCACAGCCTCATAGGGCTATTACAGAGGTCAGAGAAGAAAAGAGATATACGAATATTAGTAGACAGTAGAGTGTTTTGTTTAGGTGAAGTGCTGTCAGGTCCTGATAACCCTCTGGAATGAACATGTCAGAAGTTGTAAACCTTCAATGCCCAGAGAGGTGGAGCGACTCTTCCAAGGTCACATAGCTAGTCAGAAACAGACCTAGGGGAAAAAATTGAGAGAAACATGGAATCTAACTTGGGCTCTGTCTCTAACTGCCTGGGAGACTGCTCAAGCCCCTTCCCTCTCTAAGCCTCAGTTTCCTTGTTTTTACAATATGTGAGACAGGATGAGGGGATGTATGGGGATGATATCTGGAGGCCTTGCTAGAACTCACCTCTAGAGCCCAGGCTTGGGAATCCTTGGAAACCCCATATTGTCCTTTACATCTGGATGGCTGTGCTCAAGGGCTCAGGGAGTGGGGACCCTTGTGGCCCTGGACGCCCTAGCCCTTCCCCTTCTGTGGGTCCACCCTGTGCTGTCAGCGTGTTAGGTGCTGGAATGGTCTGAGCTGATTTGTAGTCATTTCCGAGGAAGTTTATGGTAACCTCACCTCTGTCCATGCCATGTCCTGAGCAGAGGTCCCCGGGAGAAGTCCTGGAGGCCAGAGCTACCCATGTCACAACTAGCCATGGTAGTCCTCTTCCCGATGAGGAGGCTGCAACCTGGGAGATGGCATCGGGTGGAAAGGGACATCTGTCCTAACCTCCTCATTAAGCAGAGGTGGCTCTGGGACTGTGGGAAGGGATACTGGAGAGGCAGCGGGTAACGAAGTGGAGGAGTAAATATTTCAGGGTACTAATAGAATAGAATGGACTCGAATGTAATGGATTACAAAGTATTTGATTAGAATGGAATAGATTCAAATGGAATGTAATCCAATGGAATGGAATGCAATGCAATGGAATGGAATAGAATGCAAAGCAAGGGAATGGAATGTAGTGGAATCGGGTGGAATGGCATCAAATGGAATGGACTGGAATGGAATGGACTCGAATGGAATGCACTGGAGTGGATTGTACTCGAAAGTAATGGAAACGAATGGAATGGAATGGAATGGAAAGGAATAGAATGGAATGGAATCAGATCGACCGGAATGGAATGGAATGGAGTCGAAAGGAATAGAATTGAATGGAATGGACTCGAATGGAATGGACTCGAATGGAATAGAATCGAATGGAATGGCATTGAATGGAATGGAATGGAATGGAAAGGAATGGACCCAAATGAAATGGACATGAAGGGAATGGACTCAAATAGAAAGGAACCAAAAGAAATGGTCTCGAATGGAATTTATTCGAATAGAATGGAATCAAAAGGAATGCAATAGTGTCAAATGGAATCGAATGTAATGAAATCGAATGGATTGCACTGGAATGGAATGGAGTGGAACAGAACTGAGTCGAATGTAGTGGATTGCAATGTAATTGATTCAAATGGAATCGAATCGAATGGAATGGAATTGAATGGAATGGACCAAAATGGAATGGACTGGAATAGAACAGACTCGAACGTAATGGACAGCAGTGTAATTGATTTGAACGGAATGGAATTGAATGCAATGTAATCAAATTGAATGGAATTGAATGAAAAGAAATGGAATAAAATTGAATGCAATGGAATGGAATGGAGCGGAATCGAGTGGAATGGAATTGAATGGAATGGAATCAAATGGAATGGACGGGAATGGAATGGACTCGAATGGAATTGACTGGAACAAAATGGAAAAGAACGGAATAGAATAGAATGGAACGGAATGGAATGGAATGGACTCAAATGGAATGGACTGGAATGGAATGGACTCGAGTGGAATGGACTCGAATGTAGTGGAAACGAATGGAATGGAAGGGAATGGAACGGAATGGAATAGAATGGAATGGAATCAGATGGAACGGAATGGAATAGAATGGAGTCGAATGTCATAGAGTTGAAAGAAATGGCTAAGAATGGAATGTGGAATGGAATGCACTCAAATCGAATGGACTTGAATGGAATAGAATCGAATGGAATGGTATCCAATGGAACGGAAAGGAATGGAATGGAATGGAACGGACCAAAATGTAATGGACTCGAATGGAATGGACTCAAATAAAATGGACTCAAAAGCAATGATCTCGAATGGTAATTATTCGAAAGGAATGGAATCGAATGGAATGCAATAGTATGGAATGGAATCTAATGGAATGGAATCAAAAGGAATGGACCGGAATGGAATGGACTGGAATAGAAAGGATTCAAATGTAATGGATTGCAATATAATTGATTCCAATGGAATGGAATTGAATGACATGGAAGGCAAACGAATGGAATGGAATGGAATGCAATGGAATAGAATGGAATGGAATCAGATGGAAAGAAATTGAATGGAATGAAATCGAATGGAATAGAACTGAGAAGAATGGCATCAAATTGAATGGAATGGACTCGAATGCAATAGACTCGAATGTAATAGAAAAGAATGGAATGGCATTGAATGGAATGGTATGCAATGGAATGGACTCAAATAGAATGGACTCGAAAAAAATGGTCTCCTTTGGAATTTATTCGTACATAATGGAATTAAATGGAATGCAATAGTACGGAATGGAATTGAATGAAATGGAACAGAATGGAATAGACCGGAATGGAATGGACTGGAATAGAATGGACTTGAATGTAATGGATTGCAATTTAATAGATTCGAATGGAATGTAATCAAAAGGAATGTAATCAAATGGAATGGAAAGGAATGCAATGGAAATGAACAGAATGGAATGTAACAAAATGGAATAGAATGGAATTCAATGGAAAGAACGAATTGGAATGGGGTGAAATGGAATTGAATTGAATTGAATCGAATGGATTGGAATCGAATGGAAAGGACTGGAATGGAATGGACCCAAATGTAATGGACTCTAATGGAATGGACTCAAACAGAATGGACTCAGAAGGAATGGTCTCGAATGGAATTTTTTCAGATAGAATGGATTCGAATGGAATGCAATAGTATGGAATGGAATCAAATAGTATGTAATAGAATGAAATGGACCGGAATGGAATAGACTGGAATAGAATGGACTCGAATGTAATGAATTGCTATGTAATTGATTCAAATGGATTGGAATCAACAGGAATGAAATCAAGTGGAATGGAATGGAATGCAATGGAATGGAATAGAATGGAATTGAACGGAACGGAACAGAGTGGAATCGGGTGGAATAGAATCGAATGGAATGGAATTGAATGGGGTGGAATCAAATGGAATATACTGAAATGGAATGGACTCGAATGAAATAGACTGGAACAAAATGGAATCGAATTGAACGGAAAGGAATAGAATGGCATGGAATGGACTGGAATGGAATGGACTCGAATGGAATGGAACAGAATGGAGTGGAGTCGAATGGGATTGAACAGAATGGAACGGAATTGATTGGAATGGAAATGAATGGAATAGAAAGGAATAGAATGGAATGGAGTGTAATGGAATGATATCAAATTGAATGGAATTGAATGGACTCGAACGGATTGGACTGGAATGGAATGGACTCAAATGGAATGTACTGGAGTGGAATGGATTAAATGGAATGGAAAAGAAAGGAATGGAAAAGAAAGGAATGGAATGGAATGTAAAGGAATAGAATGGAATGGAATGGAATGGAATGGAATGGAATGGAGTGGAATGGAATAGAATCTAATGGAATGGCATAGAATGGAATGGAGTGGAATGGAATGAAATAGAATGGAATCGAATGGAATGGACTCTAATGGAATAGAATACAATGGAATGACATCGAATGGAATGGAATGGAATGGAATGGATTCGAATGCAATGGAATGGAATGGAAGGGACCCAAATGTAATGGACTTGAATGGAATGGAATCAAACACAATGGACTCGAAAGGAATGGTCTCGAATGGAATTTATTTGAATAGAATGGAATTGAATGAAATACAATAGTATGGAGGGGCATCAAATGGAATGGAATCAAATGGAATGGACCGGAATGGAGTGGACTGGGATAGAATGGACTCGAATGGAATGGATTGCAATGTATTTGTTTCAAAAGGAATGGAATCGAATGGAATGTAATCAAATGGAATGGAAGGGAATGCAATGGAATGGAATAGAATGAATTGCAATGGAATGTAACGGAGTGGAATCAAGTGGAATGGAATCGAATGAAATGGAATCGAATGGAATGGAATTGAATGGAATGGAGTGGAATGTAATGGACTCGAATAGAATGGACTGCCACAAAATGGAACCCAACGGATTGGAATAGAATGGAACAGAATAGAATGGAGAGGACAGGAGTGTCATCGAATGGAATGGCATCACATGGAATGGACTGGAATGGAATGCAATGGAATGTACTCAAATGGAACGGACTCGAATTGAATATAATCAAATGTAATGGAATCGAGTGGAGTGGAATGGAATGGGATGGCATGGAATGGAATGGACCCGAATGTAATGGACTCGAATGGAATGAACTCAAATAGAATGGACTCAAGCGGAATGGTTGCATATGGAATATAATCAAATAGAATGTAATCAAATGGAATACAGTAGTATGTAATGGAATCGAATGGAATGGAATTGAATGGAAAGGACCACAATGGAATGGACTGGAATAGAACGGACTCCAATGTAACGGATTGCTATGTAATTGAAATGAATGGAATGGAATATAATGGAATGTAATCAAATGGAATGGAATGCAATGCAATGGAATGGAATAGAATGGAATGCAACGGAATGGACAAGATTGGAATCGAGTAGAATGGAATCGAATGGAATGGAATCGAAGGGAATGGACAGGAACAAAATGGAATCGAACGGATTGGAATTGAATGGAATGGAATTGAACGGATTCGAAGGGACTCGAATGAAATGGAGTCGAATGGAATGGAATTGAATGGAATGGAATTCAATGGAATCAAAAGGAATAGAATGAATGGAGTGTAATGGAAAGCTAACAAATTGAATGGAATGGAATGGAATGGAATGGACTCGAATGGAATGGTGTCGAATAGAATGGAATCTATTGCAATGGAATCGAATGGAATGGAATTGAATGGAATCGAGAGGAATAGAATGGAAAGTACTGTGATGGAAAAATATTGAATGGAATGGAACAGAATGGACTCGAAAGGAATGGACTAGAATGGAATGTACTTGAATGGAATGGACTGCAGTGGAATGGACTCGAATGCAATGGAAGCGAATGGAATGGAATGGAAAGGAATGGAATGGAATGGAACGGAAAGGTTTAGAATGAAATGGAATCGGATGCAACGGAATCGAATGGAATGGAGTCAAATGGAATAGAATCGATTTGAAAGTCATTGAATGGACTGGAATGGAATGAATTCGAATCGAATGGACTGGAAAAAAATGGAATCGAATGGATTGGAATCGAAGGGAACGGAATGGAATGGAATGTACCCAAAAGTAATGGACTCGAATGGAATGGACTCAAATAGAATGGACATGAAAGGAATGGTCTCGAATGGAAATTATTGGAACAGATTGGAATCGAATGGAATGCAAAAGTATAGAATGCAATCGAATGGAATGTAATCGAATGTAATGGACGGGAACGGAATGGACTCGATTGGAATGGACTGGATTCGAATGAACTCCAAAGGAAAGGAAACGAATGGCATGGATTGGAATGGAATTTAATGAAAGGGAATAGAATGGAATGAAATCGGATGGAACTGAATGGAATGGAATGGAGTCGAATGGAATAGAATTGTATGGAATGGCATTGAACGGTATGGAATGGAATGGAATTGAATGGACTCGAATGAAATGGACTGGAACAAAATGGAAAAGAACGGATTGGAATCGAATGGAATGGAATGGGATTGAATGGAATGGAATGGACTGAAATGGAATGGAGTCTAATGGAATAGAACCGAATGGAATGGATTCGAATGGAATGGAATTGAATGGAATCAAAAGGAATAGAATGGAATTGGGTGTAATGGAAAGATATCGAATGGAATGGAATGCAATAGATTGACTCAAATGGAATGGACTGGACTGGAATGGAATGGAATGGAATGAAATGAAATTGAAAGGAATAGAATAGAAAGGAATCGGATGGAACGGAATGGAATGGAATGGAGTCAAATCGCATAGAATCGATTGGAATGGGATCGAATGGAATGGAAAGAAATGGACCTGAATGGAATGGACTCAAATAGAATGGAAACAAATGGAATGGAATCAATCGAATGGAAAGGAGTAGAATGGAATGGAATCGGATGGAATGAAATGGAATGGAATAGAGAAGAATGGAGGAGAATCGAATGAAATGGCATAGAATGAAAAGGAATGGAATCGAATGGAGTGGAATGTAATGTAATCAAATATAATGGACTCCAATGAAATGGACTTAAATAGATTGGACTCGAAAGTGTGGTCTCGAATGGAATTTATTGGAATGTAATGGAATCGAAATGAATGCAACAGTATGTAATGGAATCGAAAGGAATAGAATCGAATGGATTGAACAGGAATGAAATGGACTGGAATAGAATGGACTCGAATGTATTGGATTGCAATGTAATTGATTTGAATGAAATGGAATCGAATGGAAGGTTATCAAATTGAATGGAAATGTAAACAATGGAATGGAATGTAATGGAATGCAACGGAATGGAATAGAGTGGAATCAAGTAGAATGGAATTGAATGGAATGTAATCAAATGGAATGCAATCAAAGGGAATGGAATTGAATGGAATGGAATGCAATGGAATGTACTGGAACAAAGTGGAATCGAATGGATTGGAATCGAATGGAACGTAAAGGGATGGACTGGAATGGAATGGACTCAAATCGAATGAAGTCGAATGGAATGGAACCGAATGGAATGGAATCGAATGGAATGGAATTAAATGGAATTGAAAGGAATAGAATGGATTTAGGTGTAATTGAAATATATCGAATGGAATGGAATAAAATGGAAGGTACTCGAATGGAATTGAAAGGAATGGAATGGAATGGAATAGAATGGAATGGAATCGGATGGAATGGAATGGAATGGAAAGGAATGGAATGGAATGGAATAGAATGGAATGGAATCAGATGGTACGGAATGGAATGGAATGGAGTCGAATGGAATAAAATGGAATTAAATGGCATCGTATGGATTGGAATGGAATGCAATGGAATGGAATGGACACGAATGGAATGGACTCGCATGGAATAGAATCATTTGGAATGGCATCGAATGGTATCGAATGGAATGGAATGGACCCAAATGGAATGGACTCGAATGGAATGGATTCAAATACAATGGAAAAGAAAGGAATGGTCTCAAATGGAATTTATTCAAATAGAATGGATGTGAATCGAATGCAATAGTATGGAATTGAATCAAATGGAATGGAATCGAATGTAATGGACCGGAATGCACTGGACTGGAATAGAACGGAATCGAAAGTAATGGATTGCAATGTAATTGATTCGAATGGAGTGGAATCAAATGGAATATAATTAAATGGAATGGCATTAAATGCAATGCAATGGAATAGAGTGGAATGCAATGGAATGGAAAGGACTGGAATCGAGTTGAATGGAATCGAATTGAAAGGAATCGAATAGAATGGAATGGAATGGAATGGATTGGAACAAAATGGAGTCGAATGGATTGGAATCGAATGGAACGGAATGGAATGGAATGGAACGGACTCCAATGTAATGGACTAGAATGGAATGGAATCAAATTCAATGGACTCGAAAGGAATGGTCTCAAATGGAATTTAATCGCATAGAATGGAATCAAATGGAATGCAATAGTGTGCAATGCAATCGAATGGAATGGAATCGAATGGAATGTACTGGAATGGAATGGAGTTCAATAGAATGGACTCGAATGTAATACATGGCAATATAATTGATTTAAATGCAATGGGATCGAATGGAATGTAATCAAATGGAATGGAATGGAGTGCAATTGGATGGAATATAATTGAATGTAATGGAATGGAAGGGAGTGGAATTGTGTGGAATGAAATCATATGGAATGGAATCGAATTTAATGGAATCGAATGGAATGGACTGGAATGGATTGGACTCAAATGACATGGACTGGAACAAAATGGAATCGAATGGATTGGAATCGAACGGAATGGAATGGACACAAAAGGAATGGATTCGAAAGGAATGGAACCGAATGGAATGGAATTGAATGGAATCGAAAGGAATAGAATGGAATGGTGTGTAATGCAAAGATATCGAATGGAATGGACTGGACTCAAATGGAATGGACTGGAATGGAATGGACTCGACTGGAATGGACTGGAGTGGAATGGACACGAATGGAATGGAAACAAATGGAATGGAATGGAATGGAAAGGAATTGAATGGGATGGAATTGGATGGAAGGAAATAGAATGGAATGGGGTGGAATGGAATAGAATCGAATGGAATGGCATCAAATGGAACGGAGTGGAATGGAATGGAATGGACACGAACGGAATAGACATGAATGGAATAGAACAGAATGGAATGGCATGGAATGCAATGGAGTGGATTGAACCGAATGGACCCAAATGTAATGGACACGAATGGAATGGACTCAAATAGAATGGACTCGAAACGAATGGTCTCAAATGGAAATTATTTTAATAGAATGGAATCGAATGCAATGCGATAGAATGGAATGGAATCGAATGGAGTGGAATTGAATGGAATGGACTGGAATAGAATGGACTGGAATAGAACGTGCTCGAATGTAATCGATTGCAATGTACTTGATTTGAATGGAATGGAATCAAATGGAATGTAATAAAATGGAATGTAATGGAATGCAATGGAATGTAATGAAATGCAATGGAATGGAACGGAGTGGAATCTAGAGGAATGGAATCGAATGGAATGGACTGGAATGGAATGGATTCGAAAGAAAATGTACTGGAAAAAATTAGAATTGAACAGATTGGAATTGAATGGAATGGAATGGACATGAATGGAATGGAGACAAGTGTAATGGAACTGAATGGAATGGAATTGATTGTAATGTAATTGAGTGGAATCGAAAGGAATAGAATGGAATGAATTGTAATGGAAAGATATCGAATGGAAAGGAATGGAATGGAATGGATTTGAATGGAATGGACTGGAATGGAATGTACAAGAATGGAATGGACTGGAGTGTAGTGGACTTCAATGGAATGGAAACGAATGGAATCGAATGGAAAGGAATGTAATGGAATGGAAAGGAATAGAATGGAATGGAATCAGATGGAACGGAATGGAATGGAATGGATTTGAATGGAATGGCATCGAATGGAATGGAATGGAATAGAAGGGAATTTCATCGAATGGAATGGAACCCAAAGGAATGGTATTGACTGGAATGGAATGGAAAGGAACAGAATGGAATTGAAACGGATGGAAGTGAATGGAAATGGTTGGAAAGGAATGGAATGGAATGGAGTCGAAAGGAATAGAATCCAATGGAATGGCATCGAATGGATTGGAATGGAATGGAATGGACACGAATGTGATGGACTTGAACGGAATAGAATCGAAAGGAATGGAATCGTATGGAATGGAATGGAATGGAAAGAAATGAAATGGAATGGAACCAAATGTATCGGACACGAATGGAATGGACTCAAATAGAATGGACTCGAAAGAAATGGTCTAAAATGGAATCTATTCGAATAGAATGGAATCGAATCGTATGCAACAGTATGGAATGGCATCGTATGGAATGAAACTGAATTTAATGGACCAGAATGGAATGGACTGGAATAGAATGGACTCGAGTGTAATGTATTGCAATGTAATTGATTCAAATGAAATGGAATCGAATGGAATGGAATCAAAAGGAATGGACCGGAATGAAATTTACTGGAATAGTACAGACACGAAAGTAGTTGATTGCAATTTAAATGACTCAAATGGAATGGATTCAAAAGGAATTTAATCAAATGCGAGGAAATGGAATGCAATGGAATGGTATGGAAAAGAATGCAATGGAATGGAATGGATTGGAAACGAGTGGAAAGGAAACAAATGGAATGGAATCAAATGGAATGGAATCTAAAGGAATGGACTGGAATGGAATGGACGCGAATGGAGTGGACTTTAGAGGAATGGATTCGAATGGAATGGAAAAGAATGGAATGGATTGGAATGCAATGGAATGGAATGGAAAGGAATAGAATGGAATGGAATCAGGATGGAACGGAATGGAATGAACTCGAATGGAATGGATCCGATGGGAATGGCATTGCATGCAACGGACTGGAATGAAATGCAGTCGAATGGAATGCACTGGAGTGGAATGGACTCAAATGGAATGGAAAGTAATGGAATGGAAAGGAATGGAATGTAATGAAATGGAATAGAAAGGAATAGAATGGAATGGAATTGGATGGAATGGAATGGAACGGAATGGAGTCGAATGGAATAGAATCGAATGGAATGGCATCAAATGGAATGGAATGGAATGGAATGGACTCGAATGGAAGGGACTCAAAAGGAAGAGAATCGAATAGAATGGCATTCATTGCAATGGAATGGATTGGAATGGACCTGAATATAACAGATTGGAATGGAATGGACTCAAATAGAATGGATTCAAAAGAAATGTTCTCGAATGGAATTTATTGAAATAGAATGGAATCAAATGGAATGCAATTGTATGGAATGGAATCGATTGGTAACGAATCAAATGTAATGGAACGGAATGGAATTGATTGGAATAAAACGGAATGGGATGTAATGGATTGCAATATAATTGATTAGAATGGAATGGAATCGAATGGAATGGAATCGAATTGAATGGAATCAAATGGAATGGACCGGATGGAATGGACTGGAATAGAACGGACTCGAATGAAATTGATTGCCATGTTATTCATTTGAATGGAATGGAATCGAATGGAATGTAATCCAAAGGAATGGAATGGAATGCAAAGCAACGGAATAGAATGGAACGTAATGGAATGGAACGAAGAAGAATCGAGTTGAATGGCATCAAATGGAATGGAATTTAATGGAATGGAAATGAATGGAATGGACAGGAATGTAATGGATTTGAATGGATTGGACTGGAACAAAATGTAAAGGAATCGTTTGGAATGGAACAGAATGGAATGGAATGGAATGGAATGGACTCCAATGGAATGGAGTCGAATGGAATAGAACCAAGTGAAATGGAATCGAATGGAATGGAATTGAATGGAACTGAAAGGAATAGAATGGAATGGAGTGTAATGGAAAGATATCAAATGGAATGGAATGGAATAGAATGGACTCAAAATGAATGGACTGGAGTGGAATGGACTCGAATGGAACGGACTGCAGTGGAATGGACTCGAATGGAATGGAAACGAATGGAGTGGAATGGAAGGGAATGCAATGGAATGGAACGGAAAGGAATAGAATGGAATGAAATCGGATTGAATGGAATGGAACGGAACGGATTCAAATGGAATAGAATCAAATGTAATGGCATCGAATGAAATGGAATAGAACGCAATGTACTCGAATGGAATGGACAGGAATGGAATGGACCCGAATGGAATGGCATCGAATGGAATGGAATGGAATGGACCAAACATAATGGACTCTAAAGGAATGGAGTCAAATGGAATGGAATCGAATGGAATGGTAACGAATGAAATGGAATATAACGGAATCGGAAGGAATAGAATTGAACGGAGTGTAATGGAAAGATGTGAAATGAAATAGATTGCAAACGAATGGAATGCACTGGAATGGAATGGACTCGAATGGAATGGACTGGAGTGGAATGGACTCTAATGGAATGGAAACGAATGGAATGGAATGGAATGGAATGGAATATTATGGAGCGGAATTGACTATAATGGAATCCGATGGAATGGACTGGAATAGAATGGACTTGAAAGTAATGGATTGCAATGTAATTGATTCGAATGGAATTGAATCGAATGGAATGTAATCAAATGAAATGGAATGGAATGCAATGTAATGGAATAGAATGGAATGCAATAGAATGGAATGGAGTGGAATCGACTGGAATGAAATCGAGTGCAATGGAATCAAATGGAATGGAATTGAATGTAATGGACGGGAATGTAACGGACTCCAATGGAATGGACTGGAGCAAAATGGAATGGAAGGGATTGGAATCGAACGGAATGGAATGGAATGGAATGGAATAGAATGTACTCAAATGGAATGGAGTCGAATGGAATGGAATCGAATGGAATGGAATTGAACGGTATCGAAAGGAATAGAATGGAATGGAGCATTAAGGAAAGATATCGAATGGAATGGAATGGAACTGAATGGACTCGACTGGAATGGACTGGAATGGAATGGACTCGAATGGAATGGACTGGAGTGAAATGGACTACAATGGAATGGAAACGAATGGAATGAAATGGAATGGAATGGAACAGAATGGAAAGGAATAGAATGTAATGGAATAGGTTGGAGATGGAATGCAAAGGAATGCAGTCGGATGGAATTGAATCAAATGGAATGGCAATGAGTGGAATGGAATGGAATGCAATGGAGTGGAATAGAATGGAGTGCAATGGAATGGAATGGAGTGGAATCGAGGGGAATGGAAACTAATGGAATGGAATTGAATGCAATGGAATCGAATGGAATGGACTAGAATGGAATGCACTCGAATGGAATGGATTGGAAAAAATGGAATCGAACAGATTGGAATAGAAAGGAACGGAATGGAATGAAATGGAATGGAATGGACTCAATTGGAGTGGACTCGAATGGAATGGAATCGAATAGAATGGAGTCGACTAGAATGGAATTGAAAGGAATGGAAAGAATAGAATGAATTTTAGTGTAATGGAAAGATATCGAATGGAATGCAATGGAATGGAATGGACTTGAATGGAAGAGACTGGAATGGAATGCATTTGAATGGTAGGGTCTGGAGAAGAATGGACTCAAATGGAATGGAAACGAATATAATGGAATGGAATGAAATGGAAAGGAATAGAATGAAATGTAATCGGATGTTATGGAATGGAATGGAGTCAAATGGAATAGAATCGAATGGAATGGCATCGAATGGAATGGAATGGAATGGACTCGAAATGCATGGACTTGAAGGAATAGAAATAGAATGGAATGGCATCAAATGGATTAGAATGGAATGGAATGGACTTGAAAGGAATGGTCTAGAATGGAATGGAATGGACTTGAAAGGAATGGTCTAGAATGGAATAGAATGGAATGGAATGGACTGGCATGAAATGGACCAAAATGTAATGGACTCGAATGGAATGGACTCAAATAGAATGGACTCGAAAATAATGATATCAAATGGAATTTATTCGGAAGGAATGGTATCGAATGGAATGCAATTGTATGGAATGGAATCGAATGGAATGAAAGTGAATGGAATGGACTGGAATGGAATGGACAGGAATAGAACAGACTCATATGTAACGGATTTCAATGTAATTAATTCGAATGAATAGAATGGAATGGAGTCGAATGGAATGGAATCTAAAGGAATGGTATCGGATGAAATAGAATTGAATGGAATCAAAAGTAATAGAATGGAATTGAGTGTACCGGAAAGATATCAAATGGAATGGAATGGAATGGAATCGACACGAATGGAATGGACTGGAATTGAAAGGACTTCAATGGAATGGGCTGGAGTGGAATTGACTCGAATAGAATGGACTGGACTAGAGTGGACTCGTATGGAAGGGATATAACCGGTATGGAAAGGAATGGAATGGAATGGAAAGGAATAGAATGGAATGGAATCAGACGGAATGGAATGGAATGGAATGGAATGGAGTCGAATGGAATAGAATAGAAAGGAATGGCATCAAATGGAATTTACTGGAATGCAAAGGAATGGAATGGACTTGAATGGAATGCACTGGAATGAAATGGACGCGAATCTAATGGACTGGAGTGGAATGGACTCGAATGGTATGGAAACGAATATAATGGAATGGAATGGGGTGGAAAAGAATGGAATGGGATGGAAAACAATAGAATGGAATCGGATGGAATGGAATGGAATGGAATGAAGTCAAATGGAATAGAATAGAATGGAATGGCATGGAATGGAATGGACTCGAATTGAATGGACCCAAATCAAATAGAATAGAAAGGAATGACATCGAATTGAATAGAATGGAAAGCATGGGACTCCTATGGAATGGACTGGAAAGGACTGTATACGAAAGAAATGGACTGGAAGAAAATGGAATCGAACAAATGGGAATCAAACAGAACAGAATGGAATGCAATGGAATGTGAAGGACCCGAATGGAATAGAGTCAATTGGAATGGAATCGAATGGAATGGAATAGAATGAAATGGAATTGAATGGAATAGAAAGGAATAGAATCTAATGGAGTGTAATGGAAAGATATCTAATGGAAAGGAATTGAATGGAGTCGAATGGAATGGACTGGAATAGAATGGACTCGAATGGAATGGACTGAAGAGGAACATACTCGAATGCAATGGAAACGAATATGGAAAGGAATAGAAAGGAATGGAATAGGAAGGAATGGAATGGAATGGAATGGAGTCGAATGGAATACAATCGAATGGAATGGCATCGAATGCAATGGAATGGAATTTAATGGAATGGCATCGAATGGAATGGAATGGAATGGACCCAAATGCAATGGACTCGAATGGAATGGACTCAAATAGAATGGACTCAAAAGGAATGGTCTTGAATCGAATATATTTGAATAGAATGGAATTTAATGGAAAGCAATAGTATTGAACGGAAATGAATGGGACAGAATCGAATGGAATGGACAGGCATAGAATGTACTGGAATAGAAAGGACTCGAATGTAATGGATTGCAATGTATTTGATTTGAATGGAATGGAATCAAATGGAATGTTATCAAATGGAATGGAATGGTATGCAATGGAAAGGAATAGAATGCAATGAAATGGAATGGAATGCCATGGAATCGAGAGGAATGGAATTGAATGGAAAGGAATCGAATGGAATGGACTGGAATGGAATGGACTGGAATGGAATGGACTCAAAAGGAATGCACTGGAAGAAAATGGAATCAAACTGATTGGAATCGAACGGAACGGAATGGAATGGAAAGGAATAGAATGGATTCGAATGGAATGGAATCGAATGAAATGAATTGAATGGAATTGAAAGGAATGGAGTGCAAAGAAAAGATACCAAATGGAATGGTATGGAATGGAATTGACTCAAATGGAATGTAATAGAATGGAATGGACTCGAATGGAATTGACTGGAGTAGAATGGACTTGAATAGAATGGACTGTAGTGGAATTGGCTCGAATGGAATGGAATAAAACGGAATGAAATGGAATGGAAAGGAATACAATTGAATGGAATCGGATGGAATGGAATGGAGTGGAATGAAGTCGATTGGAATATAATCGAATGGAATGACATCAAATGGAATGGAATGGATTTGAATGGATTGGACTCAAATGAAATAGAATCGAATGCAATGGAATTGAATGGAATTAAATGTAATGGAATGAAATGGAATTGACCCAAATGTAATGGACTCGAAAGGAATGGACTCAAATAGAATGGACAAGAAAGGAATGGTTTCGAATGGAATTTATTCGAATAGAATGGAATCGCATGGAATGCAATAGTATGGAATGGAATCGAATGGAATGGACTGGAATAGAATGGACTGGAATAGAAAGGACTCGAATATAATGGATTGCAATGAAATTGCTTTGAATGCAATGGAATCGAATGGAATGTATTCAAATGGAAAGGAATGGTATGCAATAGAATAGAATATAATGGAATGCAAAGGAATCGAATGGAGTGGAATCGAGTGAAATGGAATTGAATGTAATGGAATCGAATGGAATGGAATTGAATGGAATGGAATTGAATGCAATGGAATTGAATGGTGATGAAAGGAATACAATGGAATAGATTGTAATGGAAAGATATTGAGTGAAATGCAATGGACTCGAATGGAATGGACTGGAATGGAATGGACTTGAATGAAATGGACTGGAGTGGAATGGACTCAAATGTAATGGAAACGAATGGAATGGAATGGAATGAAATGGAAAGGAAGAGAATGGAATGGAATCTGTTGGAACAGAAAGGAATTGAATGTAGTCGAATGGAATAGAATTGTATGGAATTGCAATGGAATTGCATCAAAGAGAATGGAATGGAATGGAATGGAATGGAATGGAATGGAATGAAATGGAATGGAATGGACTCGAATACAATGGTCTCGAATTCAGTAGAATCGAATAGAATGGAATGGAATGGAATGGAATGGAAACAATTGTAATGGATTCGAATGGAATGGACTCAAATAGAATGGACTGGAAAGGCATGCTCTCGAATGGAATTTATTGAATTAGAATGGCATCTAAAGGAATGCAATAGTATGGAATGGAATCCAATGGAATGGAATCCAATGGAATGGAATGGAAAGGAATGGACTGGAATAGAACAGACTCGAATATAATGGATTCCAAACTAATTGATTTGAATGGAACGGAATCGAATGGAAAGTAATCAAAAGGAATGGAATGGAATGCAATGGCATGGAATAGTATGAAATGCAAAGGAATGGAATGGAGTGGAATTCAGTGGAATGGATTCGAATGCAATGGAATCGAATGGAAGGGACTGGAATGGAATGGACTCGAATGGAATGGACTGGAACATAACAGAATCCAATGGATAGGAATCGAATGGAACGGAAAAGAATGGAATGGAATTGAATGGACACGAATTGAATGCAGTCGAATGGAATGGAATCAAATGGAATGGAGTCGAATTGAATGGAGTTGAATGGAATCGAAAGGAATAGACTGCAATGGAGTGTAATGGAATGATATCGAATGGAATGGACTCGAACGGAAAGTACCGGAGTGGAATGGACTCAAATGGAATGGAAACGAATGGAATGGAAAGGAATAGAAGGGAATGGAATCGGTTGGAACAGAATGAAATGGAATGGATTCGATTGGAATAGAATCGAATGAATTGGCATCGAATGGAATCAAATGGAATCGAATGAAATGGACTCGAATGGAATGGCATCGAATGGAATGGAATGGAATGGAATGGAATGGACCCAAATGTAATGGACTCAAATAGAATAGACTCGAAAGGAAAGGTCTCGAATGGAATTTATTCGAATAGAATGGAATCGTATGAAATGCAATAATAATGAATGGAATCGAATGGATTAGAATCGAATGGAATGGACAGGAATAGAATGGACACGAATGTAATGGATGGCAATGTAATTGATTTGAATGGGATGGAAATGAAAGGAATGTAATCCAATGGAATTGAATGGTGTGCAATGGAATGGAATAGAAAGGAATGCAATGGAATGGAATGGAGTGGAATCCAGTGTAATGGAATCGAATGGAATGGAATTGAATGGAATGGAATCGAATGGAATGGAGTGGAATGGAATGGACTCGAAGGGAATGGACAGTAACAAAATGTTATCGAACAGATTGGAATTGAACGGAACAGAATGGAATGGAATGAAATGGAAAGGAATAGAATGGAATGGATTCGAATGGAATGGAACAGAATGGAATGGAATGGAATGGAATCAAAAGGAATTTAATGGAATGGAGTGCAATGGAAAGATATCAAATGGAGTGGAATGGAATGGAATGGAATCGAATGGAATAAACTGGAATGCAATGGACTCAAATGGAATGGAGTGCAGTGCAATGGACACGAATGGAATGGAAACGAATGGAAAGGAATGGAATGGAAAGGAATAGAATGGAATGGAATAGGTTGGAAAGGAATATAATGGAATGGAATAGGTTGGAACGGAATGGAATCGAATGGAGTCGAATGGAATAGAATTGAATGGAATGGCATCGAATGGATTGGAAAGGAATGGAATGGAATGGACTCTAATGGAATGGATTCGAATGGAATAGAATAGCATGGAATGGCAGCGAATGCAATGGAATGAAATGGACCCAAATGTAATGGACTCGAATGGAATGGACTCAAATGGAACGGACTCGAAACAAAAGGTCTCGAATGGAATTTATTCAAATAGAATGGAATCAAATGGAATGCAATAACATGGAATGGAATCGAATGTAATGAAATCAAATGGAATGGACTGGAATGGAATGGACTGGAATAGAACGGACTCGAATGTAATGGATTACAATGTAATTGATTCTAATGGAATGGAATCAAATGGTATTTAATCAAAAGGTATGGAATGGAATGCATTGGAAAGGATAGAATCTAATGCAATGGAATGGAACGGAGGGTAATCGAGTGGAATGGAATGGAATGGAATGGAATCGAATGGAGTGGAATGGAATGGAATGGAATGGACACGAAAGGAATGGATTGGAACAAAATGGAATCAAAAGGATTGGAATTGAATGGAATGGAATGGAATGGAATGGACTCAATTGGAATGCAGTCGAATGGAATGGAACCGAATGAAATGGAATTGAACAGAACGGAATTGAATGGAATCAAAAAATGGAATGAATTGGAGTGTAAAGGAAAAATATCGAAAGGAATGGAATGGAACGGAATGGACTCGAATGGAAAGGACTGGAATGGAATGGACTCGAATGGAATGGAGTGGAGTCGAATGGACTCAAAAGGGAATGTAAACGAATAAAAAGGAATGGAATGGAAATGAATACAATGGAATGGAATCAGATGGAATGGAATGGAATGGAATGGAGTCGAATGGAATAGAATCGAATGGAATGGCATCGAATGGAATGGAATGGACTAGAATGGAATAGAATCGAATGGAATGGCATCGAATGAAATGGAATGGAATGGACTCGAATGGAATAGAATAGAATGGAATGGCATCGAATTTATTGGAATGGAATGGAATGGACTCCAATGGAATGGTCCAGAATGGAATAGAATGGAATGGAATTGAATGGGATGGAATGGCCCCAAATGTAATGGACTCGAATGGAATGTACTGAAACAGAATGTACTCGAAAGTAATTTTCTCGAAAGGAATTTATTTGAATAGAATGGAATCGTATGGAATGCAATAGTATGGAACGGAAAAGAATGGAATAGAATCGAATGGAATGTACAGGAATGGAATGGACTGGAATAGAATGGTCTCGAATGTAATGGATTGCAATGTAATGGATTTGAATGGAATGGAATAGAATGGAATGTAAACAAATGGAATGGAATGGTATGCAAAGCAATGGAATAGAAAGGAATGCAATTTATTGGAACGGAGTGGAATCGAGTGAAATAGAATCGAATGGAATGTAATTGAATGGAATGGACTGGAATGGAATGGAGTCGAATGGAATGGACAGGAACAAAATGTAATCGAACGGATTGGAAACAAACAGAACGGAATGGAATGGAATGCAATGGAATAGACTCGAATGGAATGGAGTCGAATGGAATGGAACCGAATGGCATGTAATCGAATGGAATGGACTGGAATGGAATGGAGTCGAATGGAATGGAGAGGAACAAAATGAAATCAAACGGATTGGAATTGAACAGAACGGAATGGAATGGAATGCAATAGAAAAGACTCGAATGGAGTGGAGTCGAATGGAATGGAACCGAATGGAATGTAATCAAATGGAATGGAATTGAATGGAATCGAAAGTAATACAATGGAAGGGAGAGTAATGGAAACATATAGAATGGAATGGAATGGAATGGAATGGACTCGAATGGAATGGACTTGAATGGAACGGAATCGAATGGAACGGAATGGAACGGAATGGATAGGAATGGACTCGAATGGAATGGACTGGAATGGAACGGAATGGACTGGAGTGGAATGGACTCGAATGGAGTGGAAACGAATGGAATGGAGTGGAATGGAATGGAAAGGAATGAAATGGAAATGAATAGAATGGAATGGCATCAAATTGACTGGAATGGAATGGAATGGAATGGAATGGAATGGAATGGACCCAAAGGAAATGGACTCGAATGGAATGGACTCAGATAGAATATACTCTAAAGGAATGGTCTCAAATACAATTTATTCGAATAGAATGGAATCGAATGGAATGCAATATTATGGAATGGAATTGAATGGAATATAATAGCATGGAAAGTATAGGAATGCAATGTACTAGAATAGAACGGACTCGAATGTAATTGATTGCAATGTATTTGATGTGAAAGGAGTGAAACAAAAGGGAATGTAATCAAATGGAATGGAAAGGTATGCAATGGAATGGAATAGAATGCAATCAAATGGAATGGAACGTAGTAGAATCGAGTGCAATGGAAATGAATGGAATGGAATCAAATGGAATGGACTGGAATGGAAAGACTCGAATGGAATGGATTGGAACAAAATGGAATCAAACGGAATGGAATGGAATGGAATGGAATGGACTCGAATGGAATGGGCTCGAATGAAATGGAATTGATTGGAATGGAATCGAATGAAATGGAGTTGAATGGAATCAAAAGGAATAGAATGGAATGGAGTGCAATGGAAAGATATTGAATGGAATGGAATGGAGTGGAATGGAATGGACTACAATGGAATGGACTTGAAGGGAATTGACTGGAGTGCAATGGACTCGAATGGAATGGACTGCAGTGGAATGGAAACAAATGGAACGGAATGGAATGGAATGGAATGGAATGGAGTGGAATGGAGTCGAATGGAATGGTATCAAATGGAATGGAATGGAACGGAATGGAATGGATTCAAATGGAATGGACTCGAATGGAAGAGAATCGAATGCAATGGAATTGAATGGAATGAAATGGAATGGAATGAATTAGAATGGACCCAAATATAATGGACTCGAATGGAATGGACTCAAATAAAATGGACAAGAAGGAATGGTCTCGAATGGAATTTAAGCAAGTAGAATGGAATCGCATGGAATGCAGCAGTATGGAAAGGAATCAAATGGAATGGAATCAAATGGAGTGGACCAGAATGGAAGGGAAAGGAATAGAAAGGACTCGAATATACTGGATTGCAAGGTAATAGATTCGAATGGAATGGAATTCAATGGAATGTAATCAAATGGAATGGAATGAAGTGCAATGGAATGGAATAGAATTCAATGCAATGGAATGGAAAGGAGTGGAATCGAGTGGAATGGAATCAAATGGAATGGAATCGAATGGAATTTAATCGATGGAATGGACTGGAATGGAATGGACTCGAATGTAATGGATTGCCATGTAATTGTTTCGAATGGAATGGATTTGAATTGAATTATACAAAATGGAATGGAATGCAATGGAATGGAATAGAATGCAATGCAATAGAATGTAACAGAGTGGAATTGAGTGGAATGGAATTGAGTGGAATGGAATTGAAAGGGATGGACTGGAATAGAATGGACTCGAATGGAATGGACTGAAACAAAATGGAATGGAATGGATTGCAATAGGAAGGAATGGAATGGAATGGAAAGGAATGGATTCGAATGGAATGGTGTCAAATGGAATGGTGTCGAATGGAATGGAATCAAATGGAATGGATTCAAACGGAAAGTATTTGAATGGAATTGAAAGGAATATAATGGAATGGAGTATAATGGAAAGATATCACATGGAATGCAATGGAATAGAATGGAATGGGCTCGAATGGAATGGACTGGAATGGAATGGACTGCAGTGGAACGGACTCGAATGACTTGACACGAATGGAATGGAATGGAAAGGAATAGAATGGAATGGAATCGGATGGAATGGAATGGAACGGAATGGAGTGGAATGGAATGGAATTGAGTCAAATGGAAAATAATCGAATGGAATGGCACCGACTAGAATGTAATGGAATGGAATGAAATGGAATAGAATGGAATGCAATGGAATGGAGTGGAATTGAGTGGTATGAAATCGAATGGAATGGAGTCGAATGGAATGGAGTGGAACAAAAATGGAATCGAATGTATTGGAAATGAACTGAATGGAAAGGAAGGGAATGGAATGGTCTCGAAATCAAAGGAGTCGAATGGAATGGAATCGAATGGAATGGACTGGAAAGGAATGGATTCCATTGGAAAGGACTTGAACAAAATGGAATCGAACAGATAAGAATTGAACGGAATGGAATACAATGGAATTGAAGGGACTCGAATGGAATGGCTTTGAATGGAATGAAATTGAATGGAATCGATTGTAATTAATACAATGGAATGCAGTGTAATTGAAAAATATCGAATGGAATGGAATGGAATGGACTCGAATGGAATGGACTCGAATGGAATGGACCAGAGTGGAATGGACTAGAATGGAATGGAAACGAATGTAATGGAATGGCGTGGAAAGTAATACAATGGAATGGAATGTAATCTTATAGAATGGAGTGGAATGGAATGGAGTCAAATGGAATGGCTTCGAATGGAATGGAATGGAATTGAAGGGAATGGACTCGAATTGAATTGATTCGAATGGAATGGCATCGAATGGAATTGAATGGAATGGAATGGACACAAATGTAATGGAATCGAATGGAATGGACTCGAATAGAATGAAATCGAAAGGAATGGGTTTGAATGGAATTTATTTGAATAAAATTGTTTCGTATGGAATGCAATAGTACAGAATGGAATAGAATGAAGTGGACATGAACGGAATGGACTGGAATAGAACAGACTCGAAGGTAAAGTATTGCAAGGTAATTGATTTGAATGGAATGGAAACAAATGGAATGTAATTACATGGAATGGAATGGAATTGCATGCAATGGAATGGAATAGAAAGGTATGCAATGGAATGGAAAGGAGTGGAAATGTGTGGAATGGAATCGAATGGAATGGAGTCAAAAGCAATGGACTGGAATGGAATGGACTCGAATGAAATGCACTGGAACAAAATGTAATCGAACAGATTGGAATCGAATGGAACAGAATGGAACGGAATGGAATGGAATGGAATAGACTGGAATGGAATGGAGTCGAATGGAATGGAACAGAATGGAATGGAATCGAATAAAATGGAATTGAATGAAATCGAAAGGAATAGAATGGAATGGAGTATAATGGAAAGATATCGAATGCAATGGAATGGAATGGACTCGAAAGGAATAGACTGGAAAAAATGGACTCGAATGGAATGGACTGCAACTGAATAGACTCGAATGGAATGGAAACGTATGGAATGGGATGGAAAGGAATAGAATGGAATGGAAAAGGATGGATCGGAATGGAAAGGAATGGAGTCGAACGGAATAGAATCAAATGGAATGGCATCGAACGAATTGGAATGGAATGGAATGGAATGGACTCGAATGGAATGGACTTGAAAGGAATAGAATAGAATGGAATGGCATCTAATGGAAAGAAAAGAATTGAATGGAAAGTACCCAAATGTAATGGAATCGAATGGAATAGAATCAAATAGAATGGACTTGAAAGGAATGGTCTCGAAAGAAATTTATTCGAATAGAATGGAATCAAATGGAATGCAGTAGTATGGAATGGAATAGAATGGAATGTAATACAATGGAATGGACTGGAATAGAACGGACTCACATGAAATGGATTGCAATGTAATTGATTCGAATGGAATGGAATTGAATGGAATGTAATCAAATGGAATGTAATTGAATGCATAGGAATGGTATAGAATTGAATGGAAAGGAAAGGAACAGAGTGGAATTGAGTGCAATGGAATCGAATTGAAAGGAATCGAATGGAATGGACAGGAATGTAATGGATTCGAATGGAATGGACTGGAACAAAAAGGAATGGAATGGATTGGAATCGAAAGGAATGGAATGCACTCGAAAGGAACAGAGTCGAATGGAATTCAATCGAATGGAATGGAATCAAATGGAATGGAATTGATTGGAATTGAAAGGAATGTAATGGAATGGAGCGTAATGGAAAGATATTAAATGGAATGGAAAGCAATGGACTCGAATAGAATGGACTGGAATGGAAAGGACTCAAATGGAATGGACTGGAGTGGAAAGGACATGAAAGAATGAAAACGAAGGAATGGAATGGAATGGAATGGAAAGGAATAGAATGGAATGGAATCAGATGGAATGTAATGGAAAGGAATAGAATGGAATGGAATGAGATGGAATGGAATGGAAATGGAGTCAAGTGGAATAAAATCGAATGGAATGGCATCGAGTGGAATGGAAAGGAATGGATTCGAGTTGTATGGACTCGAATGGAATAGAATCGAATAGAATGGCATGGAATGGAATGGAATGGAATGGAATGGAATTCAATGAAGTGGAATAGAATTGAATGCCATGGAATGGAATGGAGTGGAATCGAGTGGAATGGAATCAATTGGAATGGAATCGCATGGAATGGCATTGAATGGAGTACAGTTGAATGGAATGGATTGGAACAAAATAGAATCGAACGACTTGGATTTCAACGGAACAGAATGGAATGGAATAGAATGGAATGGTCTCGAATGCAATGTATTTCGAATGGATTGGAATCAGATGGAATGGCATCAAATGGAATGGAATGGAATGGATTGGAATCGCAAGTAATGTACTCGAATGGAATATAATCAAATGGAATGGCATTGAATAGAAGGGAATGGAATGGCATGGAATGGATTAGAATGGAAAGCAATGGAATGGAGCGGAGTATAATCGACTTGTATGGAATTGAATGGAATGGAATCAAATGGAATGGAATAGAATGTAATTGACTGGAATGGAATGGAATCAAATGGAATGGAATGGAACAAATCGGAATCGAACCTATTGGAATCGAATGGAAAGGAATGGAATGGTCTCGAATGCAATGGAATTGAATGGTATGGAATCGAATGGAATGGAGTCAAATGGAATGGACTTGAGTGGAATGGACTGGAACAAAATGGAATCAAACAGATTGGAATCAAACAGAATGGAATAGAACAGAATGCAATGGAATGGACTCCAATGGAATGGAGTCTAAAGGAATGGAATCGAACGGAATAGAGTCGAATGGAATGGAATTGAATGAAATCGAAAGGAACAGAATGGAATGGAGTGTAATGGTAAGATATCGAGTGGAATGGAATGGAATGGACTGGAATGGAACGGACTCGAATGGAATGGACTGGATTGGAATGGACTCGAATGGAATGGAAACAAATGGAATATAATGGCATGGATATGAATAGAATTGATTGGAATTGGATGGAATAGAATGGACTGTAATGGCAACATATGGAATGGAATGGAAGCGAAAGGAATGGAAACGAATGGAATAGAATGAAATGGAATGGCATCGAATAGAATGGAATGGAATGGACCCAAATGTAATGGACTCAAACGGAATGGACTCAGATAGAATGGACTCGAAAGGAATGGACTCGAATTGAATTTATTCAAATAGAATGGAATCGTAAGGAATGCAATTGTATGGAATGCAATAGAATGGAATAGAATCTAATGGAATTGACAGGAATGAAATGGACTGGAATACAGCGGACTCGAATGTAATGGATTGCAATGTAACTTATTTGAATGGAATGGCAACGAATGGAATGTAATAAAATGGAATGGAATGGTACGCAATGGAATGGAATAGAAAGGAATGCAATGGAATGGAACGGACTGGAATCGAGTGGAGTGGAATTGAATGGAAAAGATGTGAATGGAATGGAATCGAATGGAATGGACTGGAATGGAATGGACTTGAATGGAATGGACTGTAAGAAAAGGTAATCGAACAGATTAGAATTGAATGGAACGGAATGGAATGTACTCGAATGCAATGGAGTCGAATGAAATTGAACCGAATGGAATGCAATCGAATGGAATGGGATTGAATGGAATCGAAAGGAACAGAATTTAATGGAGTGCAATGGAAAGACATCGAATGGAATGGAATGGATTCGAATGGAATGGACTGGAATGGAATGGACTCAAATGGAATGGACTGGAGCGGAATGGATTCGAATGGATTAGAAACGAAAGGAATGTAATGGAAAGGAATAGAATGGAATGGAAATGGATGGAACTGAATGGAATTGAATAAAGTAGAATGGAATAGAATCAAATGGAATGGCATCGAATAGATTGGAATGGAATGTAATGGAATTGAATGGACTCGAATGGAATATGATAGAATGGAATGGCATCAAATGGAATGGAATGGAATGAAATGGACTCAAATGTAATGGACTCAAATGGAATGGAATCAAATAGAATGGACTCAAAAGGAATGGTCTCTAATGGAATTTATTCGAATGGAATGGAATCAAATGGAATGCAATAGTATGGAATGGAATCAAATGGAATGGAATCGAATGGAATGGACCGGAATGGAATGGACTGGCATAGAACAGACATGAATGTAAAGGATTGCAATGTAATTGATGTGAATGGAAAGAAATCAAATGGAATGTAATCAAATGGAATGGAATGGAATGCAATGGAATGGAATAGAATTTAATGGAATGGAATGGAAGACAGTGGTGTAGAGTGGAATGGAATCAAATGGAAGGGAATTGAATATAAAGGACTGGAATAGAACGGATTTGAATGGACTGTACTGGACAATAATGGAATGGAAAGGATTTTAATTTAAAGGAATGGAATGGAATGGAATAGAATGGAATGCACTCGAATGGAATGGAGTTGAATGGAATGGAATCAAATGGAATGGAAACAAATGGAATGCAATCGATTTGAATCGAAAGGAGTATTATGGAATGGAGTGTAATGGAAAGATGTCAAATGGTATGGAATGGAATGGAATGGACTCGAATGGAATGGACTGGAATGGTAGAGACTCGAATGGAATTGACTGGAGGGGAATGGACACGAATGAATGAAAACGAATGGAATGGAATGGAATGGAAAGGAATAGAATGGAATGGAATCGCATGGAATGGAATGGACACGAATAGAATGGACTTGAATGGAATAGAATCGAAAAGAATGGCATTGAATGGAATGGAACGGAATGAAGTGGAATAGAATGGAATGTAGTGTTATGGAGTGGAGTGGAATCGAGTGGAATGGAATCAAATGGAATGGAGTCGAATGGAATAGAATCGAATGGAATGGCATCGAATGGAATGGAACGGAATGGAATGGACTCGAATGGAATGGAGTCGAATGGAATGGAATTGAATTCAATGGAATCGAATGGAATGCAATTGAATGGAATGGAATTGAATGGAACGGAGAGTAATTGAAAGATATCGAATGGAATGGAATGGAAAGGAATAGACTTGAATGGAATTGACTGGAATAGAATGGACACGAATGGAATGGACTGGAGTGAAATGGACTCGAACGAAATGGAAACGAATGGAAAGAATGGAATGGAATGGAAAGGAATAGAATGGAATGGAATCAGATGGAACAGAGTGGAATGTAGACAAATGGAATGGAATCGAATGGAATGGATTCACATGGAATAGAAACGAATGGAATGGCATCGAATGGAATGGAATAAAATGGAATGGAATGGAATGAAATGGAACCAAATATATTGGTTGCAAATGGAAGGACTCAAATAGAATGGAATCAAAAGGAATGGTCTCAAATGGAATTTATTTGAATACAATGGAATTGAATGGAATGAAATAGTACGGAATGGAATCGAATGGAATGGACCAGAATGGAATGGACTGGAATAGAACAATCTCGAATGTAATGGATTGCAATGAAATTGATATGAATTTAATGGAATGGAATGGAATGGAATGGAATGAAATGGAATGGAATGGAATGGAATGGAATGAAATGGAATGGAATGGAATGGAATGGAATGAAATAGAATGGAATGCAATGGAATGGATCGGAACGGAGTGGAATCAATTGGAGTGGTTCCAATGGAATGGAATCGAATTAAATGTATTCGAATGGAATGGACTCGAATGGAATGGGCTTGGGACAAAATGGAATCGAAAGGATTGTAATCGAACGCCCCGGAAAGGAATGGAATGGAATGAACTCGAATGGAATGTAATAGAATGGAATGGAATTGAATGGAATGGAATTGAATGGAATGGAACTGAATGGAATGGAATTGAATGGAATGGAGAGTAATGGAAAGATATCAAATGGACTCCAATGGAATGGAATGGAATGGAATGGACTCTGATGGAATATAATTGAAAGCAATGGCATTGAATGGAATGGAATGGCATGGAATGGAATGGACCCAAATGTAATGGACTAAAATGAAATGTAGTACAATAAAATGGACTCAAAAGGAATGGTCTCGAATGGAATTCATTAGAATAGAATAAAATCGAATAGAATGCAATAGTATAGTATGGAATCAAATGGAATGGAATCAAATGGAATGGACCGGAATGGAATGGACTGGAATAGAATGGACTCGAATGTAATGGATTGCAATGTAATTGATTCGAATGGATTGGAATCCAATGGAATGTAATCAAATGGAATGCAATGGAATGGAAAAGAATGAAATGCAATGGAATGGAACGGAGTGGAATCAAGTGGAATGGAATCGAATGGAATGGAATCGAATTGAATGGAACCAAACGGATTGGAATTGAAGGGAATGGACTGGAATGGAATGTACTCGAATGGAATGGAATGGAACAAAATGGAATCGAACGGAGTGGAATGGAATCGAATGGACTCGAATGGAATGGAATGGAACAAAATGGAATCGAACGGAGTGGAATCGAAAGGAACGGAATGGAATGGAATGGAATGGACTCGAATGGAATAGAGTCAAATGGAATGAATTTTAACGGAATGGAATTGAATCGATTGGAACTGAATGGAATCGAAAAGAAGAGAATGGAATGGAGTGTCATGGAAAGATATCAAATGCAATGGAATGGAATAGAATGCACTCGAATGGAATGGACTGGAATGGAATGGACTCGAATAAAATGCACTGGAGAGGAATGGACTCGAATGAAATGGAAACAAAAGGAATGAAATGGAATGGAATGGACTCGAATGGAATGCAGTCGAATGGAATGGATCCGAAGAAAATGGAATCGAATGGAATGGAATTGAATGGATTCGAAAAGAATAGAATGGTATGGAGTGTTATGGAAAGATATTGAATGCAATGGAATGGACTCAAATGGAATTGGGTCGAAAGGAATGGACTGGAATGGAATGGACTGGAGTAGAATGGAATAGAATGGAATGTAATCGGATGGAACAGAATTAAAAGAAATGGCGTCGAATGGAATAGAATCGAATGGAATGGCATCAAATGGAATGGAATGGACTCGAAAGGAATGGAAACGAATGGAATGGAAAGGAAAGGAATAGAATGTAATGGAATCGGATGGAATAGAATAGAATGGAATGGAGTCGAATGGAATAGAATCCAATGGAATGGCATCGAATGGAATGGAATGGAATCACATGGAATGGACTCGAATGGAATAGAATAGAATGGAATGGCATCGAATGAAATGCAATGGAATGGACCAAAATGTCATGGATTCGAATGGAATGGAATCAAATAGAATGAATTTATAAGGAATGGTCTTGAAACAAATTTATTCGAATTGAATGGAATCAACTGGAATGCAATAGTACGGAATGGAATTCAATAGAATGCAATCGAATGGAATGGAACGGAATGGAATGGACATGAATAGAATGGACTCGAATGTAATGGACTGCAATGTAACTGTTTCGAATGGAACGGAATCAAATGTAATATAACCAATTGGAATGAAATGGAATGCAATGGAATGGAATAGAATTGAATGCAAAGGAATGGAGTAGAATGGAATGCAATGGAATGGAATGGAGTGGAATCGAGTGGAATGGAATCGAATGGAATGGAATCGAATGGAATGGAATCGAATGGAACGGACTGGAATGGAAGGGACAACAATTGAGTGTACAGGAACAAAACGGAATGGAAATGATTGGAATCAAACGGAGCGGAATGGAAAGGAGTTGAATGGAACGGACTCGAATGGAATGGAGTCAAATGGAATGGAACTGCATGGAATGGAATCAAATGGAATGGAATTGAATGGAATCAAAAGGCATAGAATGGAATGGAGTGAAATGGAAAGATATCGAATCGCATGGAACGGAATGGAATGGACTCCAATGTAACGGACAGGAATGGAATGGATTAGAATGGAATGGAGTCGATTGGAATAGAACGGAATGGAATGGAATCGAATCGAATGGAATTGAATGGAATTCAAAGGAATAGAATGGAATGGAGTGTAATGGAAAGATATCGAAAGGAATGGAATGGAAAGGAATGGACTCGAACAAAATGAACTGGAATGTAATGGACTCAAATGGAATGGAAGAGAGTGGAATGGACTCGAATGGAATGGACTGGAGTGGAATGGACTCGAATGGAATGGAAACGAATGGAATGGAATGGAATAGAATGGAATGGAATCGGATGGAATGGAATGGAATGGAATGGAATGAAATGGAATGGAATTGAATGGAATGGAATGGACCGAAATGTAATGGACTCGAATAAAAGGGACTCAAAAAGAATGGATTCGAAAGGAATGGTCTCGAATGAAATGTGTTCGAATAGAATGGAATCAAATGGAATGCAATAGTATGGAATGGAATCAAATGGAATGGAATCGAATGGAATGGACCGGAATGGAATGGAGTGGAATAGAACGTACTCGAATGTAATGGATTGCAATGTAATTGATTGAAATTGAGTGTAATCGAATGGAACATAATCAAATGGAATGGAATGGAATCCAATGGAATAGAATAGAATGGAATGCAATGGAATGGAACAGAGTGGAATCGAGTGGAAAGGAATCAAATGGAATGGAATCGAATGGAATGGACTCAAATGGAATGGACTCGAATAGAATGGACTGTAAAGGAATAGTCTCGAATGAAATTTACTCAAATAGAATGGAATCGAATGGAATTCAATAGTATGGAATGGAATGGAATGGAATGTAGCAGGATGGAATGGACTAGAACAAAATGGAATCGAACGGACTGGAATCGAATGGGATGGAATGGTATGGAATTGAATGGAGTGGAATGGTATGGAGTCAAACAGAATGGAATCGAATGGAATGGAATCGAATGGAATGGAATTGAATGGAATCGAAAGGAATAGAATGGAATGGAGTGTAACGGAAAGATATCAAATGGAATGTAATGGAATGGATTCGAATGGAATGGACTGGAACAAAATGGAATTGAATGGATTGGAATTGAATGGAACAGAGTGGAATTGAATGGATTGGAATGGACTCGAATGGAATGGAGTCGAATGGAATGGAATCGAATGGAATGGTATGGAATAGAAAGTAATGGAATCGAAAGCAATGAAATTCAATGGAATCGAAAGGAATACAATGGAATGGAGAGTAATGGAAACATATCGAATTGGAATGGAATGGAAGGAATGGAATGGAATGGAATGGAATGGAATGGAAACGAATGGATTGGACTGGAATGAAATGAACTCTAATGGAATGGATTGGAGTGGAATGGTCTCGAATGGAGTAGAATCGAATGAAATGGCATCTAATGGAATGGAATGGAAGGGAATGGAATGGACCCTAATATAATGGACGCAAATGGAATGGACTCAAATTGAATGGACATGAAAGGAATAGTCTCTTATGGAATTTATTCGAATGCAATGGTTTCGAATGGAATGCAATAGTATGGAATGGAATTGAATGGAATGTACCGGATTCCAATGGACTGGAATAGAATGGACTCAAATGTAATGGATTGCAATGAAATTGACTCGAATTGAATGGAATCGAAAGGAATGTAATCAAATGGAATGGAATGGAATGCAATGGAATGGAATACAATGGAATGCAAAGGAGTGGAATGCAGTGGAATCGAGTGGAATGTAATCGAATGGAATAGAATCGAATGGAATGGACTGCAACGGAATGGACTCGAATGGAATGGACTGGAACAAAATGGAATTGAACGATTTTTAATCAAACAGAACGGAATGGAATGGAATGGAAAGGACTCAAATGGAATGGAGTTGAACGGAATGGAATCGAATGTAATGGAAATGAGTGGAATGGAATTGAATGTAATCGAAAGGAATAGAATATAATTGAGTGCAATGGAAAGATATCAAATGGAATGGAATGGAATGGCCTCAAATGGAATGGACTGGAATGGAATGGACTCCAATGGAACAGACTGGAGTGGAATGGACTCGAATGGAATGGACTGGAGTGAAATGGACTCGAATGGAATGGAATGGAATGGAATGGGAAGGAATAGAATGGATGGAATCTGTTAGAACCGAATTGAATGAAAGGGAGTCAAATGGAATAGAATTGAATGAAATGACTTCGAATGGAAAGGACTTTAACAAAATGGCATGGAACCGATTGGAATCGGATGGAACGGAAAAGAATGGAATAGAATGGAATGGAATGGACTTCAATGGAATGGAGTCGAATGGAATGAAGCAGAAAGGAATGGAATAGAATGAAACGGAATTGAAAGAAATCCAAAGGAATAGAATGGAATGGAGTGTAATGGAAAGATGTCGGATCAAATGGAATGGAACAGAATTCAGTCGAATGGAATAAAATGGAATGGAAGGGACTCCAATGGCATGGACTGGAGTGGAATAGACTTGAATGGAATGGAAACGAATGCAGTGGAATGGCAAGGAATGGAATGAAATGGAAAGGAATGGAATGGAATGGAATTGGATGGAAAGGAATGGAATTGAATGCAGTCGAATGAAATAGAATAGAATGGAATGGCATCAAATGGAATGGAATAGAATGGAATGGATTCGAATTGAATGGACTCAAATATAATGGACTCGAAAGTAATGGTCTTGAATGGAATTTATTCGAATAGAATGGAATCGAATGTATTGCAATAGTATGGAATGCAATAGAATGGAATGGAATCGAACAGAATGGACAAGAGTGGAATGGACTGGAATAGAATGGACTCGAATGTAATGGATTGTATAGTAACTGATTTGAATGGAATGGAATCGAATGGAATGTAATCAAACGGAATGGAAAGGAATGCAACGTAAAGGAATAGAATGGAATGCAATGGAATGGAACGGAGTGGAATCGAGTGGAATGGAATACAATGGAATGGAATAGAATTGAATGGAATCAAATGGAATGTACTGGAATGGAATGTACTCTAATGGAATGGACAGGTACAAAATGGAATCAAACGGATTGCAATCGAACAGAACAGAATGGAATGTAATCGAATCGATTGGAATGGAGTTCAATGGAATGAAATCGAATGGAATGGCATCGAATGGAATTGAATTGAATGGAATGGAATTGAATGGAATCAAAAGGAATAGAATGGAATGGAGTGTAAGGAAATATATCGAATGGAATGAAATGGAATCGAATGGACTCAAAGGGAATGGACTGGATTGGAATGGACTCGAATGGAATAGAATCGAATGGAATGTCATTGAATGGAATGGATTGGAATGGAATGAAATGGAATGGAATGGAATGGACCCAAATATAATGTACTCGAATGGAATGGATTCAAATAGAATATATTCGAAAGGAATGGCCACGAATCGATTTTTTACCAATAGAATGGAATCGAATGGAATGCAATATTATGGAAAGGAATCAAATGGAATGGAATCACATGGAATGTACCGGAATGGAATGGCCTGGATTAGAAAGGACAGAAGTGTAATGGATTTCAATGTAATTGATTCGAATGGAATGGAATCGAATGGAATGTAATCCAATAGAATAGAATGGAATGCAAGGAATGGAATAGAATGGAATGCAATGTAATGGAAAGGAGTAGAATTGAGTGGAATGGAATCGAATGTAATGAACTGCAATGGAATGGACTCTAATTGATTGGACTGGAACAAAATGCATTCGAACAGATCGGAATAGAACGTAATGGAATGGAATGGAATGGTGTCGAATGGAATGGAGTCGAATTGAAAGGAATCAAATGGAATGGACTGGAACGGAATTGACTGGAATAAAACAGACTAGAATGTAATGGATTGCAATGTAATTGATTCGAATGGAATGGAATTGACTGGAATAGAATTGAATGGAATCAAAAGGAATAGAATGGAAAAGAGTGTAATGGAGTGATATCAAATTGGAAGGAATGGAATGGAATCGACTGGAATGGACTGGAACAAAATGGAATTGAAAAGATTGGAATCGAATGGAAAGGAATGGAATGGAATCAAACGGAATGGACTCGAATGGAATGGAAACGAATGGAATGGAATCAAATGGAATGGAATCGAAATGAATGGAATTGAAAGGACTGGAATTGAATGGAATCAAAAGGAATAGAATGGAATGGAGTGAAATGGAAAGATATCAAATGGACAGGAATGGAATTGTCTCGAATGGAATGCAATGGACTCGAATGGAATGGACTGGAGTGGAATGGAAACAAATGAAATGGAAACGCATGGAATGGAATGGAATGAATTTTAAAAGATAGAATGGCATGGAATCGGATGCAACGGAATGGAATGGAATGGAGTCGAATGGAATAGAATCTATTGGAATGGCATCAAATGTAATTTAATGGAATGGAATGGACTGTAATGGAAAGGACTGGAATGGAATGGACTCAAATGTAATGGACTGGAGTGGAATGGAATAGAATGGTTTGGAAATGAAGGGAATGGAAAGGAATGAAACAGAAAAGAATGTAATTGAATGGAATGAAATGGAAAGGAATAAAATGGAATGGAATCAGATAGAGTCGAAAGGAAGAGAATCGAATGTAATGGTATATAAAGGAATGGAAAGGAATAAAACGCAAAAGAATTTAATTGAATGGAATGAAATGGAAAGGAATGAAATGGAATGGAATTGGATAGATTCAAATGGAAGAGAATCGAATGTAATGGCATATAAAGGAACGCAAAGGAATGCAATGGAATCGAATGGAATGGACTGGAACAAAATGGTATCGAACGGATTGGAATCAAAAGGAACAGAATGGAATGGAATGGAGTTGAATGGAATGGAAACGAATGGAATGGAATTGAATGGAATGGAATTGAATGGAATTCAAAGTAATAGAATGGAATGGAGTGAAATGGAAAGATATCGAAAAGTATGTAATGGAATTGAATGAACTCAAATTGAATGGACTATAATGGAATGGATTCGAATGGAATGTACTGGAGTGGAAGGGATTCGAATGGAATGGAAACGAATGGAATGGAATGGACTGGAAAGGAATAGAATGGAATGGAAGTGGATGGAATGCAATGGAATGGAATGGGTCGAATGGAATAGAATCGAACGTAATGGCATCGAATGGAAAGGAATGGAAACAAATGGATTGGAATCCAATGGAATAGAATCAAATGGAATGGCATAGAATGGAAAGGAAAGGAATAGTATGGAATGGACCCAAATGAAATGGACTCCAATGGAATGGACTCAAACAGAATGGACTCAAAAGGAATGTTCTCGAATAGAATTTATAAGAATAGAATGGAATCGAATGGAATGCAATATTATGGGATGGAATCAAATGGAATGGAATCGAATGGAATGGAAAAGAATTGAATGCACTAAATTAGTAAGGACTCGAATGAAATGGACTGCTATGTAATAGATTCGAATGGAATGGAATCGCATGGAATGTATTCAAATGGAATGGAATGGGATGCAATGAAATGGAATAGAATGGAATGCAATGGAATGGAATGGAGAGGAATCAAGTGGAATGGAATCGAATGGAATGGATTTGAACGGAAAGGAATGGACTGGATTGAACTGGAATGGAATGGACTCGAATGAAATGGCATGGAACAAAATGTAATGGAAAGGATTGGAATCGAACGGAATGGAATGGAATGGAATGGAATGGCCTCGAATTGAAGAGAGTCAAATGGAATGGAATCGAATGGAGTGGAATCGAATAGAATGTAATTGAATGGAATTGAAGGGAATAGAATGGAATGGAAAAGAAGGAATGGAATGGAATGGAATGGAATAAAATGGAATGGAATCGGATGGAAGGGAATGGAACAGAATGGATTCGAATGGAATAGAACCGAATAGAATGGCTTAGAATGGAATGGAATGGAATGGAATGGAAAAGACTCGAATGGACTGGAAACGAATGGAATAGAATGGAATGGAATGGAATGGAAAGGAATGGAAAGAAATAAAATGGAATGGAATCAGATGGAACGGTATGGAATGGAAGGAAGTCGAATGGAATAGAATCGAATGGAATGGCTTCTAATGGAATTTAATGGAATGGAATGGAAATGATTCGAATGGAATGGACTCGAATGGAATAGAATATAATGGAATAACTTGGAATAGAATGGAATGGAATGGAATGGAATGGAATGGAAGGTAATGGCATGGAATTAAATAGAATGGAATGGAATGGCATGGAATGGAATGGAATGGAACAAAATGTAACGGACTATAATGGAATGGACTCAAATACAATACAATCGAAAGGAATGGTCTTGAATCAATTTATTTCAATAGAATGGATTCGAATGGAATGCAGTAGTATGGAATGGAATTGAGTTGAAACGAATTGAATGGAATGGACTGGAATGGAATGGAATTTAATAGAAGTGACTGGAATGTAATGGATTGCAATGTAATTGATTCGAATGGAACGGAAATGAGAGGAATGTAATCAACTGCAATGGAGTGCAATGCAATGGAATGTAATTGAAGGGAAGGCAATGGAATTGAACGGAGTGGAATCGATTGGAATGGAATCGAATGGAATGGAATCACATAGATTGGAATCGAATGGAAAAGACTGGTATGGAATGGACTAGAATCGAATAGACTGGAACAAAATACAATGGAAAAGATAGGAATCCAACGGAATGGAATGGAATGGAATGGACTCACATGGAAAGGAATCAAATGGAATGGAATCGAATGGAATGGAATTGAATGGAATCGAAAGAATAGAATGGATTTGAGTGTAATGGAAAGATACCGACTGGAATGGAATGGAAAGGAATGGACTCGAATGTAGTGGACTGGAATGGAACAGACTAGAACGGAATGGACTGGAGTGGAATGGACTCGAATGTAGTGGACTGGAATGGAACAGACTAGAACGGAATGGACTGGAGTGGAATGGACTCGAATGGAATGGAAATGAATGAAAGGGAATGGAACGGAAAGGAATAGAATGGAATGGAATTGGATGGAATGGAATGGAATGGAATGGATTTGAAAGGAATAGAATCGAGTGGAATGGCAATGAGTGGAATGGAACGGAATTCAATGGACTCTAATGGAATGTACTCGAATGGAATAGCACTGAATGGAAGGGCATCTAAGGGAATGGAATGTAATGGAATGGAATGGAATTGAATGGAATGGAATGGACCCAAATGTAATAGATTCGAATGGATTGGACTCAAATAGAATGGACTCGAAAGGAAAGGTCTTAAATGAAATTTATTCTAATAGAATGGAATCGAATGGAATGCAGTAGTATGCAGTGGAATTGAATGGAATGGAATCAAATGGAATGTATCGTGATGAATGGACTGGAACAAAATGGAATTGAATGGATTGGAATCGAACAGAATGGCATGGAATGGAATGGAATTGACTCGAATGAAATGGAGTCAAACAGAATGGAATCGAATTTAACACAATTAAATGGAATGGAATTGAATGGATTCTAAAGGAATAAAATGGAATGGAGTGTAACGGAAAGATATCAAATGGAATGGAATCGAATGCAATGGACTGGAACAAAATGGAATCAAATGGATTGGAATCGAACGGAAACGAGTGGAATGGAATGGATTGGAATGAACTCAAATGGAATGGAGTAGAATGGAAAGGAATCAAAAGGAATGGAAAAGAACGGAATTGAATCAAATAGAATGCACTGGAATAGAATGGACTCGAATGGAATGGACTGGAACAAAATGGAATTGAACGGATTGGAATCGAACGGAACGGAATGTAATGTAATGGAATGGAATGGAAAGGAATGGACTCGAATGGAAGGGAGACGAAAGGAATGGAATCAAATGGAATGGAATCAAATGGAATGGAATTGAACGGAAATGAAAGGAATAGAATGGAATGGAGTGTAATGGTAAGATATCGAATGGAATGGAAGGAATGGAATGGACTCGAATGGAAGGGACTGGAGTGGAGTGGAATTGAATTGAATGGACTGGAGTGGAATGGACTAGAATGGAATGGAAACGAGTGGAATGGAATGGAATGGAAAGGAAAGGAATAGAATGGAATGGAATCGGATGGAACCGAACGGAATGGAATGGAGTTGAATCGAATAGAATCTATTAGAATGGCATCAAATGGAATGGAATGGACTTGAATGGAATGGACTCCAATGGAAAAGAAACGAATTGAATGGCATCGAATGGAATAAAATGGAATGGAAAGGACCCAAATATAATCGCCTTGAATGGAAAGGACTCAAATAGAATGAATTCGAAAGAAATGGTCTCGAATGGAATGTATTCGAATAGAATGGAATGGAAAGGAATGCAGAAGTATGGAATGGAATCTAATGGAATATAATCGAATGAAATGGACTGGAAAGGAATTGATTGTAATAGAGTGAACTCGAATGCAATGGAATGCAATGTAATTGATTTGAATGAAATGGAATCGAATGGAATGGAATCGAATGGAACGGACAGGAATGGAATGGACTGGAATAGAACGGACTCTAATGTAATGGATTGCAAGTAATTGATTAGAATGGAATGGATTTGAATGGAATTTAATCCAATGGAAAGGAATGGAATGCAATGGAATGGAATAGAATGGAATGCAATGGAATGGCACAGAGTGGAATTGAGAGGAATGGAATCGAATGGAGTGGAATTGAGAGGAATGGAATCGAATGGAATGGAATCGAATGCAATTGACTGGAATTGAATGACCTCGAATGGAATGTACTGGAATAAAATTTAATGGAACGGATTGGAATCAAAAGGAAACGAATGGAATGCAATGGAATGGAATGGAATGGACAGGAATGCAATGGACTCGAATGAAATGGAATCGAATGGAATGGAATCAAATTGAATGGAATTGATTGGAATCAAAAGGAATAGAATGGAATGGAGTGTACTGGAAAGATATCGAATGGAATGGCCTGGAATAGAATGGACACGAATGTAATGGATTTTCATGTAATTGATTCGAAATATATGTAATTGAATGGAATGTAATCAAATAGAATGGAATGGAATGCAATGTAATGGAATAGAATGGAACACAATGGAATGGATCGGAGTGGAATCGAGTGGAATGGAATCGAATGGAATGGATTCAAATGGAATGGAATCGAATGAAATGGTCTGGACAAAAATGGAATCGAATGGATTGGAATCGAAAGGAACGGAATGGAACGGAATGGAATGGACGCGAAAGGAATGGAGTTGAAAAGAATGCAATCGAATGGAAAGGAATCAAATGGAATGGAATTCAAAGGAAACGAAAAGTATAGATTGGAATGGAGTGTAAAGGAAACCTATCGAATGGAATGGAATGGAATGGAATGGATTCGAATGGAATGGACTGGAGTGGAATGGAATCGAATGGAAAGGAAACAAATGGCATGGTATGGAATGGAATGGAATGGAATGGAAAGGAATGGAATGGAATGGAATGGAATTGGTTGAAATGGAATGGAATGGAATGGAATCGAATCGAATGGAATAACCTCGAATGGAAAGCAATGGAATGGAATCCCCTCGAATGGAATAGAATCGAACGGAACGGAATGGAATAGAATGAAATGGAATGGAATGGAGTCAAATGGAATGGAACAGCATGGAATGGAATCGAATGGAAAAGAATTGAATGGAATCGAAAGGAATAGAAAGGAAAGGACTGTAATGAAAAAATATCGACTGAAATGGAATGGAATGGACTTAAATGGAATGGATTGGAAAGGAATGGATTCGAATGGAATGGACAGAGGAGTAATGGATTCAAATGGAATGGAAACGAATGGGGTGGAATGGAATAGAATGGAAAGGAATAGAATGTAATGGAATCGGATTGAATGGAATGGAACAGAATGGAATGGAATGGACTCGAATGTAAATAAGTCGAATGGAGTGGAAAGCATGGAGTGGAATTGAATGGAAAGGAATTGAATGGAATGGAAAAGAATGGAATGGAATGGAGTGTAATGGAAAGATATCGAATGGAATGGAATGAAATGGAATGAAATGGAACAGCCTCGAATGGAATGGACTCGAATGGAATATAATCGAATGGAATATAATCGAATTGAATGGCATCAAAAGCAATGGAATGGAATGGACCCAAATGTAATGGACTCGAATGGAATGGACTCAAATAGAATGGACTCGAAAAGAAAGGTCTCGAATGGAATTCATTCGAATAGAATAGAATCGAATGGAATGCAATAGTATGGAATGGAATCGAAAGGAATGGAATTTAATGGAATGGACCGGAATGGAATGGCCTGGAAGGGAACGGATTCGAATGTAATGGATTGCAATGCAATAGGTTCGAATGGAACGGAATCGAAAGGAATGTCATCAAATGGAAAGGAATGGAATGGAATGGAATGGAATAGAATGGAATGCAAAGCAATGGAATGGAGTGGAATCTAGTGGAATGGAATCGAATGGAATGGACTGGAATGGAATGGACTCGAATGGAATGGACTGGAACAAAATCGAATCGAATGGAATAGAATCCAATGGAAAGTAATGGAAGGGAATGGAATCAACTTGAATGGAATGGAATGGAATGGAATGGAATGGAATGGACTCGAATCCAATGGAGTCAAATGGAATGGAATCGCATGGAATGGAATCGAATGGAAAGGAATTGAATGGAATTGAAAGGAATATAATGGAATGGAGTGTTATGAAAAAATATCGAATGGAATGGAATGCATTGGAATGGAATAGGCTCGAATGGAATAGATTGGAAAGGAATGGACTCGAATGGAATGGACTGCAGTGTAATGGACTCGAATTGAATGGAAACGAATGGAGTGGTTTGGAATGGAATGGAACATAAAGTAATAGAATGGAATGGAATCAAATGTAATGCAATGGAACGGAATGGAGTCGAAAGGAATAGAATTAAATGGAATGGCATCGATTGGAATGTAGTAGAATGGAATGGAATGGACTCGAATGGAATAGAACTGAATGCAATGGCATTGAATGGAATGGAATGGATGCAAATATAATCAACTGGAATGGAATGGACTCAACTATAATGGACTCGAAAGGAATGGTTTTGAATGGAATTCATTCGAATTGAATGGAATCGAATGGAATGCAATAGTATTCAATGGAATAGAATGCAATGGAATCAAATGGAGTGGACTGGAATGGAATGGACTGGAATAGAACAGACTCCAATGTAATGGATAGCAAAGTAATTGATTAGAATGGAATGAAATAGAATGGAATGTAATAAAATGGAATGGAATGGAATGCAAAGGAATCGAAGGGAATGGAATGTATGGAATGGAACGGAGTGGAATTGAGCAGAATGGAATCAAATGGATTGGAATCAGATATTACATTGGAAGTCCATTGGAATCGAAAGGAATGGACTGGAATGGAAAGGACTCGGACGGAATGGACTGGAACAAAATAGAATTGAACGGATAGGAATCTAACAGAATGGAATGGAAAGGAATGGAATGGAAAGGAATGGAATGGAATCGAATGGAATAGAGTCGAATGGAATCGAATAGAATGGAATGGAATCAAAAGGAATGGAATTGTATGGATTCGAAAGTAACAGAATGGAATGCAGTGTAAAGGAGAGATATCGTATGTAATGTAATGGAATGGAACGGACTTGAATGGAATGGGCTGGAATGGAATGGACTCGAATTGAATGGATTGGAGTGGAATGGACTCGAATGGAATTGAAATGAATGCAATGCAATGCAAAGGAAAGGAATAGAATGGAATGGAATCGGATGGAATGGAATGGAATGAAGTTGAATGGAATTGAATAGAAAGGAATGGCATCTAATAGATTGGAATGGAATCGAATGGAAAGGATTCGAATGGAATGGACTCGAAAGGAATAGAATCGAGTGGAATGGGATGGAATAGAATGGAATGGAATGGAATGGAATGGAATGGAATGGAATGGAATAGAATGGAATGAAAGCAGATGGAACACAATGGAATGGAGTGGAGTCAAATATAATACAAGCGAATATAATGTTGTCGAATGGAAAGGAATGGGCTCAAATGGAATGGACTCAAATGTAATAGAATGAAATGGAATGGCATGGAATGGAATGGACACAAATGTAATGGACTCAAAAGGAATGAACTCAAATACAATGAACACAAAAGAAATGGTTTCAATTGGAATTTATGTGAATACAATGGAATTGAAAGGAATGCAATATTATGGAATGGAATGG
The DNA here is from genome assembly GCF_000001405.40 of Homo sapiens. Classification (NCBI taxonomy): domain Eukaryota; kingdom Metazoa; phylum Chordata; class Mammalia; order Primates; family Hominidae; genus Homo; species Homo sapiens. The sequence continues at coordinate 48,260 of NT_187385.1, forward strand.
AATTGAATGGAATGGAACGGAATGGAATGGACTGGAATAGAAAGGACTCGAATGTACTGGAATGCAATGTAATAGATTCAAATGGAATGGAATCGAATGGAATGCAATCAAATGGAATGGAATGGAAATCAATGGAATGGAATCTAATAGAATGCAATGGAATGCAATGGAGTGCAATCAATTGGATTGGAATCGAATGGAATGGAATTGAGTGGAATGGAATCATTTGGAATATACTGTAATGGAAAGGATTCGAATGGAATGGAATGGAACAAAATGGAATCGAAGGGATTGGAATCGAATGGAACGGAATGGAAATCAATGGAATGTAATGGCTTTGAATGTAATTGAGTCGAATGCAATGGAATCGAAAGGAGTGGAATCGAATAGAATGGAAAAATTGAAGGGAATAGAATAGAATAGAGTGTAATGGGAAGATTTCGAATGGAACGGAATGGAATAGACTCGAAAGGAATGGACTGGATTGGAATGGACTCGAATGGAATGGACTGGAGTGGAATGGACTCGAAAGAAATGGAAACGAATGGAATGTAATGGAAAAGAAAGGATTGGAATGGAAAGGAACAAAATGGAATGGAAACAGATGAAAAGGAATGGAATGGAATGGAGTCGAATGAAATAGAATTGAATGGAATCACATTGAATGGAATGGAATGGAATGGAATGGAATGGACTCGAATGGAATAGAAACCAATGGCATGGATTGGATTGAAATGGAAGGGAATGGAATGGAATCTAATGGAATGGAAAGGAACAGAATGGAATGGAATTGGATGGAATGGAAGGGAATGGAATGGAGTCGAACGCAATAGAATCAAATGGAATGGCATTGAATGGAATGGAATGGAATGGACTTGAGAGGAATGGACTCTAATGGAATAGAATAGAACGGAATGGCATCGAATGGAATGGAACGGAATGGAATCCACCCATACGTAATGGACTCGAATGGAATGGACTCAAATAAAATGGACTCGAAAGGAATGGAATCGAAAGAATGGTCTCGAATGTAATTTATTCAAATGGAATGGAATTGAATGGAATGCAATCGTATGGAATGGAATCAGATGGAATGGAATCAAATAGAATAGACCAAAATTGAATCGACTCGAATGGAACGGACTCGAATGTAATGGATTGCAATGTAAATGAATTGAATGGAACGGAATAAAATTTTATGTAATCAAATGGAATGGAATGGAATTCAATGGAATGGAAAAAAGTGGAATGCAATGGAATGGAACGGAGTGGAACCGAGTGGAATGGAATTGAATGCAATGGAGTGAAAAGGAATGCAATGGAATGGAATGGAGTGGAATCGAATGGAATGGAATGGAGTGTAATCGAGTGGAATTTAATCGAATGGAATGGAATTGAATTGAATGGATTGGAATGGAATGGACTCCAATGGAATTCACTGGAACAAAATGGATTGGAAAGGATTGGAATCAAACGGAATGGAATGGAATGGAATGGAGTTGAATGGAATGGAGTCGAATGGAATGTAACCAAATGGAATGGAATCGAATGGAATCGAAAGTTATAGAATGGAATATAGTGCAATGGCAAAATATCGAATGGAATGGAATGGACACGAATGGATTGGACTGGAATGGAATGTACTCGAATGGAATGGACTGGAGTGCAATGGACTCGAAAGGAATGGAAACGAATGGAATGGAATTGAATGGAATGGAGAGGAATAGCATAGAAAGGAATTGGACGGAACGAAATGCAATGGAATGGAGTCAGATGGAATAGAATCGAGTGGAATGGCATTGAATGGAATTGAAAGGAATGGGATTGAAAGGAATGGAATTGAGAGGACTCGAATGGAATGGACTCGAATGGAATAGAATAGAATGGAATGACTATGAATGGAATGGAATGGAATGGAATGGAACCAAATGTATTGGAATGGAATGGAATGGAATGGATTGGAATCGAACGGAATGGAATGGAATGGAATGGATGCGCATGGAATGGGGTCAAAAGGAATGGAATCTAATGGAATGGAATGAAATCGAAAGAATAGAATGGATTGGAGTTTAATGGAAAGATACGGAAAGGAATGGAAGGGAATGGACTCAAATACAATGGACTGGAATGGAATGTACTGGATTGGAATGGACTGGAGTAGAATGGACTTGAATGGAAAGGAAACGAATAGAATGGAATGAAAGGGAATGGAATAGAATGGAATTGAAAGGAAAAAAATACAATGGAATGGAATCAGATGAAAGGGAATGGAAAGGAATGGAGTAGAATGGAATGGAATCGGATGGAACACAATGGAATGGAATGTAGTCCAATGGAATAGAATCAAATGGAATGACAATGAATGGAATGGAACGGAATGGAATCGAATGTACTCTAATGGAAAATACTCGAATGGAATAGCATTGAATGGAATGCAATCCAATACAATGGAATGGAATGGAGTGGAATCGACCCAAATGGAATGGAGTGGAATGAAATGGAATGGAATAGAATGGAATGCAAAAGAATGGAACAGAGTGGAATCGAGTGGAATGGAATCGAATGGAATGAACTGGAATGGAATGGACGCGAATGGATTGGACTAGAACAAAATGGTATCGAACGGATTTGAATAAAACGGTACAGAATGGAATAGAATAGAATGGAATGGAATCGAATGGAATGGACTGGAGTGGAACAGAATGGAAAGGAATAGAATGGAATGGAAGTGGATGGAACGCAATGGAATGCAATGGATTCGAATTGTATAGAATTGAATATAATGGCGTTGAGTGGAATGGAATGGACTCAAATGGAATGGAATCAAATGGAATAGAATCAGATGGAATGGCATGGAATGGCATGGAATGGAATGGACACAAATGTAATGCACTCAAAAGGAATGGACACAAATAGAATGGACACAAAGGGAATGGTCTCGACAGGAATTTATTCGAATACAATGGAATCAAGTAGAATGCAATATTATGGAATGGAATCGAATGTAATGGAATCGAATGGAATGGAACGGAATGGAATGTACTGGAATAGAAAGGACTCAAATGTAATGCACTGCAATGTCATAGATTTGAATGGAATGGAATCGAATGGAATGTAATTAAATGGAATGGAACGGAAAGCAGTGAAATGGAATCGAATAGAATGCAATGGAATGGAATAGAGTGGAATCAAGTGGAATGGAATCGAATGGAATGGAGTTGAGTGGAATGGAATCGATTGGAATATACTAGAATGGAATGGACTCGAATGGAATGGAATTGAACAAAATGGAATCGAACGGATTGGAATCGAATGGAACGGAATGGAATGGAATGGAAAGGAATGACCTCGAAAGTAATTGAGTCAAACAGAATGGAATCGAAAGGAGTGGAAACGAATAGAATGGAATTGAATGGAATCGAAGGGAACAGAATGGAATGGAGTGTAATGGAAAGATATCAAATGGAGAGGAATGAATGGACTCGAATGGAATGGACTGGAAAGGAATGGAATGCAATGGAAAGCAATAGAATGGAATGGAAACGGATGGAAAGAAATGGAATGGAATGGAGTCAAATGGAAAAAATTGAATGGAATGGCATCGAATGGAATGCAATGGAATGGAATGGAATCGAAAAGAATGGAAACGAACGGAATGGATTGGAATGGAATGGAATGGAAAGGAATGGAATGACCTCGAATGGAATGAAATGGAATCAAACGGAATGGACTCGAATAGAATGGACTGGAACAAAATGGAATCGAACGGATTTGAACAAATGGAATGGAATGAAATGGACTCGAATGGAATGAAGTCTAATGGAATGGAACGGAATGTAATGGAATCCCATGGAATGGAATTGAATGCAATTGAAAGGAATTGAATATAATGGAATGTAATTGAAAGATATCAAATGGAATGGAATGGGATTGACTCGAATAAATCGGAGTGGAATGGGATGGACTCGAATGGAAAGGACTGGAGTGGTATGGATTGAATGGAATGGAAACTAATGGAATGGAAACCATTTGAATAGAATGGAAGGAAATAGAAAGGAATAGAATGGAATGGAATCTGATGGATCAGAATGGAATGGAACGGAGTCGAATGGAATGGAATGGAATCGAATGGAAATGGAATAGAATGGAATGGAATGGAAAGGACTCAAATGGAATGGACTCGAATGGAATAGAATAGTATGGAATGACTTCGAATGGAATGGAATGGAATGAAATGTAATGGACTTGAATAGAGTGAACTCAAATAGAATGCAATCCAAAGGAATGGTCTCGAATGGAGTTTATTCGAATAGAATGGAATCGAATGGAATGCAATAGTATGGAATGGAATCGAATGGAATCGAATCAAATGGAATGGAGTGGAATGGAATGGACTAGATTACAACGGACTGAAATATAATGGATTCCAATTTAAATGGCTTGAATGGAATGGAATCAAGTGGAATGTAATCAAATGGAATGGAATACAATGAAATGGAATGGAGTGAAATGCAGTGGAATGGAACTGAGTGGAATTGAGTGGAATGGAATCGAATGGAATGGAATTGTATGGAATGGAATTGAATGGAATGCACTGGTATGGAATGGAATAGAATGGAATGGACAGGTACAAAATGGAATAGAATGGATTGGAATCGAACAGAATGGAATGGAATGGAATGGAATGGAATGAACTCACATGGCATGGAGCCAAATGGAATGGAATCAAATGACATGGAATTGAATGGAATCGAAAGAATTGAATGGATTGGAGTATAATGTAAAGATACAGAATGGAATGGAATAGAAAGGAATGGACTCGAAGGCAATGGATAGGAATGGAATGGAGTAGAATGGAATGGACTGCAGTGCAATGGACTCGAATGGAATCAAAAAGAATGGAATGGAATGGAACAGAAAGGAATGCAGTGGAATGGAATCAGATGGAACGGAATGGAATGGAATGGAATGGAGTCGAATGGAATAGAATCGAATGGAATGGGAATGAATGGAATGGAATGGAATGCAATGGAATGGAATGGACTGTAATGGAATGTATTCGGATGGAATAGCATTGAATGGAATGGCATTGAATGAAATGGAATGGAATCGAATCGAATGAAGTTGAATGGAATGGAATCGAAAGGAATGGAATGGAATTGAATGGACATGAAAGTAATGGATTGCAATGTAATTGATTCGAATGGAATGGAATCAAAGGTAATGAAACCAAATGAAATGGAAAGAAATGCAATGGAATGGAAGAGAATGGAATGCAATGGACTGGAACGGACTGGAATCGAGTGGAATGCAATTGAATGGAATGGAATCGAATGAAATGGAGTGGAATGGAATGGACTCGAATGGAATGTTCTGGAACAAAATGGAATCAAACGGATTGGAATTGAACGGAACAGAATGGAACCGAATGGAATGGAATAGACCCAAATGTAATGGATTCGAATGGAATGAAATCAAATAGAATGGACTCAAAAGGAATTGTCTCGAACGGAATTTAGTCGAATAGAATGGAATTGAATGGAATGCAATAGCATGGAATGGAATCGAATGCAATAGAATCAAATGGAACGGACTGGAATGGAATCAACTAGAATTCCTTGGACAGGAACAAAATTGAACGGAAAGGATTGGAATTGAACGGAGGAGAATGGAAAGGAATGGAAAGGAATTGATTCGAAAGAAATGGAACTGCATGGAATGCAATCAAACGGAATGGAATTGAATTGAATCGAAAGGAAAAGAATGGAAAGGAGTGAAAAGGAAAGATACGGAATGGAATGGAAGGGAATGGAATGGATTCGAATGTAATGTAATGGAATGGAATGGACTCGAATGGAATGGAGTCAAATGGAAAGAAACCGAATGGAATGGAATCGAATGGATTGGATTTGAAAGGAAACGAAAGGAATTGAATGGAATGGAATGGAAAGGAAAGATATTGAATGCAATGGAATGGAAAGGAAAGGACTCGAATGGAATGGACTGGAATGGAAGGGAGTTGAAAGGAATGGACTGGAGCTGAATGGACTCGAATGGAATGGAAAACAATGGAATAGAATGGAATGGAATGGAAAGGAATACAATGGAATGGAATCGGATGGAAGTGAATGGAATGGAATGGACTCCAATGGAATAGAATCGAATGGAATGGCATCGAATGGAATGAAATGGAATGGAATAGAATGGAATGGAATGGACCCAAATGTAATGGAATCGAATGGAATGGACTCAAATAGAATGGACTCAAAGGGAATGGTCTCGAATGGAATTTATTCGAATAGAATGGAATCGAATGGAATGCAATAGTATCGAATGGAATCGAAAGGAATGGAATCGTATGGAATGGACTGGAATGGAATCGACAGGAAAAGAACGGATACAAATGTAATGGATGGCAATGTAATTGATTAGAATGGAATGGAATCAAATGGAATTTAATCAAATGGAATGGAAAGGAATGCAAAGGAATGCAATAGAATCAAATGCAATGGATTGGAAAGGAGTGGAATCGAGTGGAATGGAATTGAATGGAATGCAATCGAATGGAATGGACTGGAATGGAATGGACTCGAAGGGAATGGACTGTAAGAAAATGGATCCGAACGGAATGGAAGGAATGGAATGGATTCGAATGGAATGGTGTAGAATGGAATGGAAACGATTGGAAAGGAATCGAATGGAATTGAATTGAATGGAATCGAAAGGCATAGAATGGAATGGAGTGTAATGGAAAGATATCGAATGGAATGGAATGGAATGGACTCGAATGGAATGGACTGGAATGGAGTGGACTCGAATGGAAAGGAGTGGAGTGGAATGGACACGAATGGATTAGAAACGAATAGAATGGAATGGAAGGCAAAGGAATAGAATGGAATGGAATCGGATGGAACGTTAAGGAATTGAATGAAGTTGAATGGAACAGAATCGATTGGAATGGAATTGAATGGAATTGAATGGAATGGAATGGAATCGAATGGAATGGACATGAATGGAATAGAATGAAATGCAATGGCATGGGATGGAATGGAATGGAATGGAATTGAATGGAATGGAATGGAATCGAATGGAATAGACTCAAAAACAGGGACTCAAATACAATGGATTCGAAAGGAATGGTCTCGAATGTAATTTATTTGAATAGAACTTTATTGACTAGAATGCAATAGTATGGAATTGTGTCGAATGGAATGGAATGGAATGGAATGGAATGGAATGGAGTGGAATAGAACGGACCCAAATGTAATGGATTGCAATGTAATTGATTCAAATGGAATGGAATTGAATGGAATGTAATCACATGGAATGAAATGGATAGCAACGGAATGGAGTAGAATGGAATGCAATGGAATGGATCGGAGAGGAATCGAGTGGAATGGAATAAAACGGAATGGAATCGAATGGAATGGACATGAATGGAATAGACTCGAATGGAATGGACTCTAAACGTATGGTCTCGAATGGAATTTATTCGAATAGAATGGAATCGAATGGAATGCAATAGTATGGAATTGAATCGAATGGAATGGAATCGAATGGAATGTACTGGAAGGGAATGGACTGGAATAGAATGGACATGAACGTAATGGATTGCAAAGTATTCGATTCAAATTGAATGCAATCGAATGGAATGTAATCTAATCAAATGGAATGGAATGCAATGGAAAGGAATAAAATGGAATGCAATGGATTGGAACGGAGTGGACTCGAGTGTAATGGAATGGAACGGAATGGAGTCGAGTGGAATGGAATCGAATGGAATGGAATTGAATGGAATCGAATGGAGTAGTATGGAATGGAGTGTAATGCGGAGATATTGAATGGAATGGAACGGAATGGAATGGAATGGAATGGACACGAATGGAATGGACAGGAATGGAGTGTATTGAATGAAATGGACTGGAGTGGAATGGACATGAATGGAATGCAAACTAATGGAATGGAATTGTATGGAAGGAAAGGAATGGAATGTTACAGAAAGGGATAGAATGGAATGGAATCGGATGGAACGGAATGTAATGGAAAGGCATCAAATGTAATAGAATCGAATGGAATGACATCGAATGGAATGGAATGGAAAGGAATGGAATGGAATGGAATGGACTCGAATGGAATGGAATGGAATGGAATGGACTCGAATGGAATGGACTCGAATGGAATAGAATAGAAGGGAAAGGAAACGAATGGAATGGAATGGACCCAAATATAATGGACTCGAATGGAGTGGAATATAATAGAAAGCACTCGAAAAGAATGGTCTCGAATGGCATTTATTCGAATAGAATGGAATCGAATGTAACGCAATAGTATGGAGTGGAATCGAATGGAAAGGAGTATAAAGGAATGGACCGGAATGGAATCGACTGGAATAGAATGGACTCAAATGTAATGGAGTGCAATGTAATTGATTCGAATGGAATGGAATCCAATGGAATGTAATCAAATGGAATGGAATGGAATGCAATGGAATGGAATAGAATGGAATGCAATGGAATGGAACGGAGTGGAATCAAGTGGAAAGGAATCGAATGGAATGGACAGAATGGAATGTATTCGAATGGAATGGACTGGAACAAAATGGAAAAGAACAGTTTGGAATAGAATGGAATTGAATGGAATGGAATGGAGTGTACTCGAAAGGAATGGGTTTGAATGGAATGGAATTGAATGGAATAAAAAGGAATAGAATGGAATGGAGTTTAATGGAAAGATATTGAATGGAATGGAACGGAATGGAGTGGATTCGAATGGAATGGTATGGAGTGTAGTAAAAAGATATCGAATGGAATGGAATGGAATGGAATGGAGAGGACTCGAATGGAATGGAATGGAATGGAGAGGACTCGAATGGAATGGAATGGAATGGAATTGACTCGAATGGAGTGGACTGGAGTGGAATTGACTAGAATATAATGGACAAGAATGGAATGGAATGGAATGGAAACGAATGGAATTGAATGGAATGAAATGGAAAGGAATAGAATAGAATGGAATCGGATGGAGTCGAATGGAATAGAATCGAATGGTATGGCACCAAACGGAATGGAATGGATTGGAAAGGAATGGAATCGAATGGAATGGAATTGAATGGAATAGAATCGAATGGAATGGAATTCAATGGAATAGAATTGAATGGAATGGAATGGACCCAATTGTAATGGACTCGAATGGAATGGACTCATAAAGAATGGAGTAGAAAGAAGTGGTATCAAATGGAATTTATTCGAATAGAATGGAATCAAATGGAAAGCAGTAGTATGGAATGGAATCGAAAGCAATGGACCGGAATGGAATGGAATGGAATAAAACGGACTGGAATGCAATGGATTGCAATGTAATTGATTCGAAAGGAATGGAATCGAAAGGAACGTATTCAATAGTATGGAACTGAATGCAATAGAATGGAACAGAATGGAATGCAAAGGAATGGAATGGAGTGGAACCAAGTGGAATGGAATTAGATGGAATGGAATTGAATAGAATGCAATGGAATGGACTGGAACAAAATGAAATGGAACCGATTGGAATCGAAAAGAATGGAATGGAATGGAATGGAATGGAATGGAATGGATTCGAATGGAATGGAGACGAATGGAATGGAACTGAATGGATTGGAATCGAATGGAATGGAATTGAAAGGAATCGAAAGGAATAGAATGGTATGGAGTGTAATGGAAAGATATCAAATGGAATGGAATGGAATGGAATGGAATGGAATGGAATGGAATGGACTCGAATGGAATGGAATGGAATGGAATAGAATGGACTCAAATAGAATGGAATGGAATGGACTCAAATGAAATGTACTGGAGCGGAATTGACATGAATGGAATGGAAAAGAATGGAATGGAATGGAATGGAATGGAAGAGAATGGAATAGAATTGGATAGAACGGAATGGAATTTAATGAAGTCAAATGGAATACAGTCTAATGGAATGGCATCGAATGGATTAGAATGGAATGGAATGGATTCGAATGGAATGGACTCGAATGGAATATAGTCAGATGGAATGGCATTGAATGGAATGGAATGGAATGGAATGGAACGGAATGGTCCAAAAGTAATGGAAATCGAATGGAATGGGCTCAAATAGAATGGACTCAAAAGGAATGATCTCGAATGTAATTTATTCGAATAGAATGTAATCGAAAGTAATGCAATAGTATGGAATGGATTTAAATGGAATGGAGTCGAATGGAATATACCGGAACAGAATGGACTGGAATACAACAGAATAGAATGTAATGGATTATAATGTAATTGATTCGACAAGAATGGAATAGAACAGAATGTAATCAAATGGAATGGAATGGAATAGAATGGAATCCAATGGAATGGAACGTAATGGAATCGATTGGAATAGAATGGAATGGAATGGAATGGAATGTAGAATGGAATGGACTCGAATTCAGTGGACTGGAATAAAATGGAATCAAACGGATTGGAATCTAATGGAACGGAATAGAATGGAATGGAATTGACACGAATAGAATGGAGTCGAATGGAATGGAAATGAATGGAATGGAATCAAAAGGAATAGAATGCAATGGAGTGTAATGGAGAGATATCGAGTGGAATAGAACAGAATGGAATGGACTCGAAAGGAATTGACTTGAATGGAATGGCCTCGAATGGAATGGATTCGAATGTAATGAACTGGAGTGGAATTGATTTGAATGGAATGGAAACGAATGCAATGGAATGGAAAGGATAGGAATGGAATGAAATGGAAAAGAATAGAATGGAATGGAATCAGTTGGAATGGAATGCAATGGAATGGGATCGAACGGAATAGAATCGAATGGAATCGCATGGAATGGAAGGGAATAGAAAGAAATGGAATGTAATGGACCCAAATGTAATGGACTCGAATGGAATGGACTCAAATAGAATGTACTCGAAAGGAATGTTCTCGAATTGAATTTATTAGAATAGAATGGAATCGAATGGAATGCAATAATATGGAATGGAATCGAATCGAATGGAATCAAATGGAAAGTAGCGGGATGGAATGGACTGGTACAAATTGGAATCAAACAGATTGGAATCGAATGGAAAGGAGTGGAATGGAATGGAATGAACTCGAATGGAATGTAGTTGAACGGAATGGAATTGAATGGAATGGTATCAAATGGAATCGAATTGAATGGAATCGAAAGGAATAGAATGGAATGGAGTGTAACAGAAAGATATAAAATGGAATTGAATGGAATGGACTCGAATGGAATGTACTGGAACAAAATGGAATCGAATGGATTGGAATCGCACGGACCCGAGTGTAATGGAATGGATTGGAATGGACTCGAATGGAATGGAGTCGAATGGAATAGAATCGAATGGAATGGAATTGAATGGAATCCTAAAGAACAGAATGAAATGGAGTGTAATGGAAAGATATCGAATGGAATGGAATTGGATGGAATGCCTTCGAATGGAATGGACTGGAAGGGAATGGACTCGAATGGAATGGACTTGAGTGGAATGGACTCGAATGGAATGGAAACGAATGGAATGGAATGGCATGGAATGGAATGGAATGGAAAGGAATGGAAAGGAATAGAAGGGAATGGAATCGGATGGAATGGAATGAAATGGAATGGAGTTGAATGGAATAGAATCGAATGGAATTGCATCAAATGGATTGGAATGGAGTGGAATGGAATGGAATGGACTCGAATGCAGTGGACTCGAATGGCATAGAATCTAATGCAATGGCATCGAATGGAATGGCATGGAATGGAACAGAATTGAATGGAATGGTCTCAAATGTAATGGACTCGAATAGAATGGCCTCAAAAGAAATGATCTGAAAAGGAATCCGTATGAATAGAATGGAATCGAATGGAATGCAGTAATATGGAATGCAATCAAATGGAATCAAATAGAATGGAATGATCTGGAATGGATGTACTGGAATAGAACGGAGTCAAATGTAATGGATTGCAATGTAATTGATTCGAATGGAATGGAATCAAATGGAATGGAATCGAATGAAATGGACCGGAATGGAATGGATTTGAATAGAAGGGACTCAAGTGTAATGGATTGCAATGTAATTGATTCGAATGGAATGGAATCGAATGGAATTTAATCAAATGGAATGGAATGGAATGCAATGGACTAGAATAGAATGGAATGCAATGGAATGGAACAGAGTGGAATTGAGTGGAATGGAATTAAATATAATGGAAGCTAATGGAATGGAAGCCAATGAAATGGACAGGAATGGAATGGAGTCGAATGGAATGTACTGTAACAAAATGAAATCGAACGGATTGGAATCAAACGTAATGGAATGGAATGGAATCGAAACGAATGCAATGGAGTCGAATGGAATCGAATCGAAAGTAATGGAATCTAACAGAATGGAATTGAATGGAAGCGAAAGAATAGAATGGAATGGAGTGTAATAGAAAGATATTGAATGGAATGGAAATGGAATGCAGTCGAAATGAATGGACTAGAATGGAATGGATTCGAATGGAAAGGACAGGAGTGGAAATGTGTTGAATGGAATGGAAACGAATGGAATTGAATGGAATGCAATGGAATGGAATGGAACGAAAAAGAATGGAAAGGAATCGGAGGGAATGCAATGGACGGGAATGAAGTTGAATGGAATAGAATAGAATGGAATGGCATCGAATGGAATGGAATGGAAATGACTCAAAAAGAATGGACTCGAATTGAATAGAATGGAATGGAAAGGAATGGAATTGAATGGAATGGACCCAAATGTAATGGACTCGAATGGAATGGACTCAAATAGGATGGACTCGAAAGAAATAGTCTCGAATGGAATTTATTCGAATAGAATGGAATCGAAAGGAATGCAATATTATTGAACAGAATCGAAAAGAATGGAATCAAATGGAATGGAACAGAGTGGAATGGACTGCAATAAAATGAACTCGAATGCAGTTTGTTGCAATGTAATTGATTCGAATGGAAACAAACGAATGGAATGGAATAGAATGGAATGGACCAGAATAGAATGGACTGGAATAGAAAGGACTCGAATGTAATGGATTGCAATGTAATTGATTCGAATGGAATGGAATCAAATGGAATGGAATCGAATGGAATGGACTGGAATGGAAATGAGTGGAATAGAAAGGACACGAATGGAATGGATTGCAATGAAATTGATTCGAATGGAATGGAATCAAATGAAATGTAATACAACGGAACGGAAAGGAAGGCAATGGAATTGAATAGAATGGAATGCAATGGAATGGAATGGAGGGGAATGGAGTGGAATGGAATCGAATGAAATGGAATCTAATGGAATGGAATCCAATGGAATGGACTGTAATGGAGTGGAATCGGATGGAATGGACTGGAATAAAAAGGAATTGTACAGATTGGAATCAAATGGAATGGAATGGAATGGAATGGACTCGAACAGAATGGAGTCGAATGAAATGGAGTCGAATGGAACGGAATCAAATGGAATGGAAATGAATGGAAACAAAAGGAATAGACTGGAATGGAGTGTAATGGAAATGTGTCGAATGGAATGGAATGGAATGGGCTCGAATGGAATATAATCAAATGGAATGGACTCATATGGAATGGGCTGGAATGGAATGGAATGGGATGGAATGGAAAGGAATGGACTGGAATGGAATGGACTCGAGTCGAATGGACTCGAATGGAATGGAAACGAATGGAATGGAATGGAAAGGAATAGAATGGAATGGAATCAGATGGAAAGGAGTGGAATGGAATGGACTTTAATGGAATGGAATGACATCGAATGGAATGGAATGGAATTTACTGGAATGAACTCGAATGGAATAGAATCGTATGGAATGGCATCGAATGGAAAGGAATGGAATGGAATGGACCCAAATATAAAGGGCTCTAAGGGAATGGACTGAAATTGAATGGACTCAAAGGCAATGGCCTCGAATGAAATTTATTCGAATGGAATGGAATTGAATGGAATGCAATAGTATGGAATGCAATCGAATTGAATGTACCAGAATGGAATAGACTGGAATAGAATGTATTTGAATGTAGTGGATTGCAATGTAATAGATGAGAATGGATTGGAATCGCATGGAATGGAATAGATTGGAATGCAATGGAATGGAACGGAGTGGAATTGAATGGAATGGAATCGAATGGAATGGACTGGTATGAAATGGACTCGAATAGAATGGAGTGGAACAAAATGGAGTGGAATTGATTGGAATCGAACGAAGTAGAATGGAATAGAATTGAATGGAATTGAATGGAGTCGAATGGAATGGAATCGAATGGAATGGAATGGAATGGAATGGCATGGAATGGAATGGAACTGAATGGAAATGAAAGGAATAGAATGGAATGGAGTGAAATGGAAAGATATCAAATGGCATGGAATGGAACTGAATGGAATCGAATGGAATGGATTATAATGGAATGGACTAGAATGGAATGGACTGGAGTGGAATGGACTCGAATGGAATGGAAACGAATGGAATGTAATGGAATCAGATGGAATGTAACGGAATGGAATGGAGTCGAATGGAATAGAATCGAATGTAATGGTGTTGAATGGAATGGAATGGACTCAAATGGAATGGACTCGAATTGAATAGAATCAAATGAAATGGCCTGGAATGGAATGGAATGGAATGCAATGGACACAAAAGTAATGGACTCAAATGGAATGGACATGAAAGGAATGGACTCGAATGGAATATATGCAAATAGAATGGAATCGAATGGAATGCAATTCTATTGAATGGAATTGAATGGAATGGACCAGAATGGAATTGACTGGAATAGAACAGACTCAAGTGTAATGGATTGCAATCTAATTGATTGAAATGGAATCGAATCGAATGGAATGTAATCAAGTGGAATATAATGTAATGCAATGGAATGGAATAGAATGGAATGTAATGGAATGGAATAGAATGGAATACAGCAGAATGGAACAGAGTGGAATCTAGTGGAATGGTAGCAAATGGAATGGAATCGAATGGAAATGACTGGAAAGGAATGGACTCGAATGGAATGGATTAGAAAAAAATGGAGTCAAACAGATTGGAATCGAACGGAAATGAATGGATTGGAATGGAATGGATTCGAATGGAATGGAGTTGAATTGAATGGAGTGGAATGGAATTTAATCGAATGGAATGGAATCAAAAAGAATAGAATTGAATGGAATCCAAAGGAATAGGATGGAATGGAGTGTAATAGAAATATATCCAATGGAATGGAATGGACTCGAAGGAATGGACTGGAGTGGAATGCACTTGAATCGAATGGAAACAAAAGGAAAGGAATGCAATGGAAAGGAATGGAGTGGAAAGAAATAGAATGGAATGGAATCGGATGGAATGGAATGGAATGGATAGGAGTCAAATGGAAGAGAATCCAATGGAATGGCATTGAATTGAATGGCATCGAATGGAATCGAAAGAAATGGCATGGACTCTAATGTAATGGACTCGAATGGAATAAAATAGAATGGAATGGCATGGAATGGAATGGAATGGAATGGAATGGCACCAAACGTAACGCACTCGAATGTAATGGACTCAAATACAATGGACTCGAAAGGAATGGTCTCGAATTCAATTTATACAAATTGAACGGAATCGAATGGAATGCAATAGCATGGAATGGAATGGAATCGAATGGAACGGATCGGAATGAAATGGACTGGAATAGAATGGACTTGAATGTAACGGATTGCAATGTAATTGATTCGAATGTAATGGAATCAAATGGAATGTAAACAAATGGAATTGAATGGAATGCAATGGAATGGAATAGAATAGAATGCAATGGAATGGAAAGGAGTGGAATCGAGTGGAATAGAATCGAATGGAATGGAATCGAAAGGAATGGACTCGAATGGAATGGACTCGAATTGAATGGACTGGAAAAAATGGAATCAAAAAGATTGGAATCGAACGGAACAGAATGGAATGAAATTTAAAGGAATGGAATGGACTCGAATGGAATGGAGTCGAATGGAATGGAATCGAATGGAATGTAGTCTAATAGAATGGAATTGAATGCAATCAAAAGGAATAGAATGGAATGGAGTGTAATGGAAAGATATCGAATGGAGTGGAATGGACTCAAATGGAATGGACTGGAAAGGAATGGACTCAAATGCATTGGACTGGAGTGGAATGGACTGGAATGGAATGGAAACGAATGGAATGGAATGGAATTGAAAGGAATAGAATGGAATGGAATCGGATGGAATGGAATGGAGTCGAATGGAGTAGAATCGAATGTAATGGCATTGAATGGAATTGAAAGGAATAGAATGGAATGTACTCGAATGGAATAGAATAGAACGGAATTGCATCGAATGGAATGGAATGGAATGGAATTGACAGAAAAGTAATGGACTCGAATGGAATGGACTCAAATAGAATGGACAGGAAATCAATGGTCTCAAAAGGAATTTATTCAAAGAGAATGGAATCGAATTTAATGCAATAGTATGGAATGCAATCGAATGGAATGGACTGGAATGGAATGGACTGGAATGGAATGGACTCGAATGGAATAGATTGGAAAAAAATGGAATTGAAAGGATTGGAATCGAACGGAATGGAAGGGAATGGAATTGAATGGAATGGACTCGAATGGAATGGAGTCGACTGGAATGGAATCGAATGGAATGGAATCGAATGGAATGGAATTGAATGGAATCGAAAGGAATAGAATGGAATGGAGTGTAATGGAAAGATATCGAATGGAATGGAATGGAATCGAATGGAATGGATTGGAATGGAATGGACTGGAATGGAATGCATTTCAATAGAACAGACTCCAATGTAATGGATTGTAATATAATTGATTTGAATGGAATTGAAACGCATGGAATGTAATCAAATGGAATGGAATGTTATGCAATGGAATGGAATAGAATGGAATGCAATGGAATGCTTTAGAATGGAATGCAATGGAATGGAACAGAGTGGAATGTAGTGGAATGGAATTTAATGGAAAGGAATCGAAATGAATGGACTGGAATTGAATGGACTTGAATGGAATGGACAGAAACAAAATGGAATTGAACGGATAGGAATCAAACGGAACGGCATGGAAGGGAATGGAATGGGATGGACTCACATGGAATGGAGTCGAATGAAATAGAAATGAATGGAATGGAATCGAATGGAATGGAATTGAATGGAATAAAAAGGAATAGAATGGAATGGAGTTTAATGGAAAGATATGGAATGGAATGGAATAGAATGGAAAGGAGTGCAATGGAAATATATCGAATGGAATGGAATGGAATGGACCTGAATGGAATGTACTGGAATGGAATGGATTCGAATGGAATGGAGTGGAGTGGAATGGGCTTGAATGGAATGGAAACGAATGGAATGGAATGGAAAGGAATTGAATGGAATGGAATCAGATGGAATGAAATGGAATGGAATGGAGTCTAATGAAATAGAATCGAATGGAATGGCATCGAATTGAATGGAATTTAATGGAAAGGAACGGACTAGAATGGAATGGACTTGAATGGAAAAGAATAGAATGAAAGGAAATCGAATGGAAAGGAATGGAATGGAATGGAATGGAATGAACCCAAATGTAATGGACTCGAATGGAATGGACTCAAATAGAATGGACTCGAAAGGAATGGTCTCAAATGAATTTATTTGATTAGAACGGAATCGAATGGAATGCAATTGTATGGAATGGAATCGAACAGAATGGAATCGAATGGAATGGACAGGAATGGAATGGACTGGAATAGAACGGACCCAAATGTAATGGATTTCAATGTAATTGATATGAATGGAATGGAATCGGTTGGTAAGTAATCAAATGGAATGGAATGTAATGGAATGGAATAGAATGGAACGCAATCGAATGGAACAGAGTGGAATCGAGTGGAATGGAATCAAATGAAATGGAATCCAATGGAATGGAATCGAATGTAGTGGACTCGAATGGAATGGAATGGAAAAAACTGGAATTGAACGGATTGGAATCAAAGGGAAAGGAATGGAATGGATTGGAATGGACTCGAATGGAATGGAGTCGAATGGAATAGAATTGAATGGAAAGGCATCGAATGGAATGGAACGGAATGGAATGGACTCGAATGGAGTGGACTCGAATAGAAGAGAATTGAAAGGAATGGCATGGCATGGATAGGAATGGAATGGAATGGAATGGAATGGAATGGACCTAAAGGTAATGTACTCTAATGGAACGGACTCAGATAGAACGGACTTGAAAGGAATGGTCTTGAATGGAACTTATTCGAATAGAAAGGAATGGAATGGAATGCAAGATTATGGAGTGGAATCGAAAGGAAAGAATTGAATGGAATGGATCGGAATGGAATGGACTGGAATAGAATGGACTCAAATGTAATGGATTGTAATGTAATTGATATGAAATGAATGGAATCGAATGGAATGTAATCAAATGAAATAAAATGGCATGCAATAGAATGGAAGAGAATGGAATGCAATGGAATGGAATGGAGTGGAATCAAGGGGAATGCAATCGAATGGAATGGAAACGAATGGAATGGAATCAAATGGAATGGACTGAAACAAAATGGAATCGAACGGATTGGAATCAAATGGAACGGAATGGAATGGAATGCAATGGAATGGAATGGACTCGATTGGAATGGAGTTGAATGCAATGGAATCGAATGGAATGTAATCGAATAGAATGGAATTGAATTTAATCGAAAGAAAGAGAATGGATCAGAGTGCAATGGAATGATACCAAATGGAATGGAATGGAATGGAATGGACTCAAATGGAATGGAATGGAATGGCAAGGAATGGAATGGAATGGAATAGAATGGAATGGACTCAGGTGGAATGCAGTGGAATGGAATGGAATGGATTCAAATGGAATAGAATCAAACGGAATGGCGTCGAATTTAATGGAATGGAATGGAATGGACTCGAATGGAATGAAATTGAATGCAATAGAATGGAATGGAATGACATCGAAAGAAATGGAATGGAATGGAATGGAATTGAATGGACCCATATATAATGGACTTGAAAGGAAGGGACTCAAATAGAATGGATTGGAAAGTAATGGTCTCGAATGGAATTCATGCCAATAGAATGGAATAGAATGGACTGCAATAGTATGGAATGGAATCGAATGGAATGGAATCAAATGGAATGGACCAGAAAGAAAAGGACTGGAATAGAACGGACACGAATGAAATGGATTGCAATGTAATTGATTCGAATGGAATGGAATCAAATGAAATGTAATCAAATGGGATTGAATGGAATGCAATGGAATGGAATAGAATGGAATGCAATCGAATGGAATGGAGAGTAATCGGGAGGAATGGAATCGAATGGAATGGAATCGAATGGAATGGAATCGAATGGAATGGACTCGAATGGTATGGACTCGAATGGAATGGACTTTAAAGGAATGGTCTAGAATGGAATTTATTCAAATAGAATGGATTCGAAAGGAATGCAATTGCATGCAATGGAACCGAATGGAATGGAATCGAACAGAACGGAATCGAATGGAATGGACTCGAATGGTATGGACTCGAATGGCATGGACTTTAAAGAAATGGTCTAGAATGGAATTTATTCAAATAGAATGGAATCGAAAGGAAAGCAACTGTATGCAATGGAATCGAATGGAATGGAATCGAATGGAATGTAGCAGAATTGAATGGACTGGAATAGAACACACTTGAATGTAATGGATTGCAAAGAAATTGATTCCAACGGAATGCAATCGAATGGAATGTAATCTAATGGAATGGGATGGAAGGCAATGGGATGGAATAAAATGGAATGCAAAGGAATGGATTGGAGTGGAATCGAGTGTAATGGAATTGAAAGGAATGGAATTGAATGGAATGTAATCTAATGGAATGGAATGGAAGGCAATGGGATGGAATACAATGGAATACAATGGAATGGATTGGAGTGGAACTGAGTGTAATGGAATCGAACGGAATGGAATATAATGGAATGGAATTGAATGGAATCGAATGGAATAAAATGGAATGGAGCATAATGGAAACATATCGAAAGGAATGTAATTGAATGGAATGGAATGGAATGGAATTCAATATAATAGAATGGAATGGAGCGTAATGGAAACATATCAAATGGAATGCAATGGAATGGAGTGGACTCTAATGGGATGGACTGGAATGGAATGGACTTGAATGGAATGGGATGGAGTAGAATGGACTCGAATGTAATGGAAGTGAAAGGAATGGAATGGAATGGAATGGAATGGAACGGAAAGGGATAGAATGGAATGGAATTGGATGGGACAGAATGGATGGGAATGGAGTCGAATGGAAGAGATTCAAATGGAATGGCATTGAATGGAGTTTAATGGAATGGAGTGGAATGGAATGGAATAGAATCGAATGGAATGGCAACGAATGGAATGGAATGGAACGGAATGGAACGGAATGGAATGGAATGGAAGCGAATGGAATGGAATGGACCAAAATGTAATGGAATCGAATGGAATGGACTCAAATACAATGGACTCGAAAGGAATGGTCACGAATGGAATTTATTCTAATAGAATGGAGTCGAATGGAATGCAATAGTATGGAATGGAATCGAAAGGAATGGTATCGAATGGAATGGACTGTAATGGAATGGACTGGAATAGAATGGACCCGAATGTAATGGACTGCAACGTAATTTATTCAAATGGAAAGGAATCGAGTGCAATGTAATCAAATAGAATGGAATTGAATCCAATAGAATGGAATAGAATTGAATGCAATGGAATGGAATGGAGTGGAATTGAGTGGAATGGATTCGAATGGAATGGAGTTCAATGGAATGGACTCGAATGGAATGGACTGGATTGGAATGGACTCCAATGGAATAGAAAAGAATGGAATGGATTGGCATGGAATGGAAAGGAATAGAACGGAATGAAATCGGCTGGAACGGAATGGAATTGAATGGAGTCAAATGGAATAGAATTGAATAAAATGGAATGGAATGGAATGGAACGGACACCAATGTGATGGACTCGAATGGAATAGAATCAAATGGAATGACATTGAATGGAATGTAATGGAAGGGAAAGGAATGAAATGGAAGGGACCCAAATATAATGGACTCGAATGGAATGGACTCAAATAGAATGGACTCGAAAGGAATGGTCACAAATGAATTTATTCGATTAGAATGGAATCGAATGGAATGCAACAGTATGGAATGGAATCGAAGGGGATGGAATCGAACGGAATGGACTGGAATGAAAGGGACTGGAATAGAACGAACTAAAATGTAATGGATTGCTATGTAGTTGATTTGAATGAAATGGAATCGAATGTAATGTAATCAAATGGAAAGGAATACAATGCAATTGAATGGAATAGAATGGAATGCAATGGAATGGAATGGAATGGAGTGGAATCGAGTGGAATGGAGTCGAATGAACTGTAATCGAATGAATTGGAATCGAATGGAATGGACTCGAATGGAATGGGCTGGAAAAAATGGAATCAAACAGAGTGGAATCGATCAGAGCGGAATGGAATGCAATGGAATGGAATGAAGTCATAAGAAAGGGAGTCAGATGGAATGGAATTGAATGGAAAGGAATTGAATGGAAAGGAATTGAATGGGATCAAAAGGAATAGAATGGACTGGAGTGTAATGGAAAGTTATCGAATGGAATGGAATGGAATGAAATGGAATGGACTCGAATGGAATGGAATCGAATGGAATGGACTCGAATGGAATGGACTGGAGTGGAATGGACTCGAATGGAATGGAAATGAATGGAATGGAATGGAATGGACAGACGGAATGGAATGGAATGCAATGGAGTCGAATGAATGGAATCAAAAGGAATGACATCGAATGCAATGGAATGGATTGGAATGGAATTGAATGGACTCGAATGGACTGTCATCGAATGGAATGGAATGGAATGGAATGGACCCAAATGTAATAGACACAAGTGAAATGCACTCAAATTCAATGGACTCGAAAGGAATCGTCTCGAATGGAATTTATTCGAATAGAATGGAATCCAATGGTATGGAATGGAATCAAATGGAATGGAATCGAATGGAATGGACCGGAATGGCATGGACTGGAATAGAACAGACTCGAATGGAATGGATTGCAATGTAATTGATTTGAAAGGAATGGACTCAAATGTAATGTAATCAAATGGAATGGAATGGAATGCAATGGAATGGAAGAGAACCGAATGCATTGGAATGGAATGGAGTGGAATGAAGTGGAATGGAATTGAATGGAAGGGAATCGAATGGAATGGAATCGAATGGAATGGACCGCAATGGAATGGACTCAAATGGAATGGGCTGCAACAAAATGGAATCTAATGGATTGGAATCGAACGGAACGGAATGGAATGGAATGGAATGTACTCAAATGGAATGGAATTGAAAGGAACAGAATGGAATGCAGTGTAACAGAAAAATATCGAATGGAATGAAATGGAATGGAATGGACTCGAATGGAATAGATGGGAAAAGAATGGACTCGAATGGAATGGACTGGAATGGAAAGGACTCGAAAGGAATGTAAACGAATGGCATGGAATGGAATGGAATGAAAGGGAAAGGAATATAATGGAATGGAATCGGATTGAATGGAATGGAATGGAATGGAGTCAAATGGAATAGAATCGAATGGAATGGCATCGAATGGAATGGAATAAAATGGAATGGAATGAACTCGAATGGAATAGAATCAAATGGAATGGCATCAAATGGAATGGAAAGGATTGGAATGGAATGGAATGGATCCAAATGTAATGGACTCGAATGAAATGTACTCAAATAGAATGCAATAGAAAGGAATGGTCTCGAATGGAACTTATTCGAATAGAATGGAATCAAATGGAATGCAATAGTATGGAATGGAATTGAATTGAATCGAATCGAATGGAACGGACTGGAATGGAATGGACTTGAACAGAACGAACTGGAATGAAATGGATTGCAATGTAATTGACTCGAGTGGAATGGAATCAAGTGGAATGGAATCAAATGGAATGGAATGGAATGCATTGGAATGGAATAGAATGTAACGAAGTAGAATGCAATGGAGTGGAATGGAGTGGAATGGAATCGAATGGAATGTAATCATATGGAATGGAATCGAAGGGAATGGACTGGTATGGAATGGACTAGAATGGAATGGACAGGTACAAAATGGAATGGTAAGGATTGGAATCGGATGGAACGGAATGGAATGGAATGGAATGGACTCGCATGGAATGGAGTCAAATGGAATGGAATCAAATGGTATGAAATTGAATGGAATCAAAAGAATAGAATGGATTGGAGTGTAATGGAAAGATACCGAGTGTAATGAAATGGAATGGAATGGACTCGAATGCAATGGACTGGAATGGAATGGACTGCAGTTGAATGGACACAAATGGAATGGAAAGGAATGGAATGGAATGGAAAGGAATACAATGGAATGGAATCCGATGGAATGGAATGGAATGGAGTCGAGTGGAATAGAATCGAATGGAATGGCAATGAATGGAGTGGAATGGAATGGAATGGAATGGACTCTAATGTAATGTTCTCTAATGGAATAACACTGAATGTAATGGCATCAAATGGAATGGAATGGAATGGACCCAAATGTAATGGATTTGAATGGAATGGACTCAAATAAACTGGACTCGAACGGAATGGTCTAGAATGGAATTTACTCGAATAGAATGGAATAGAATGGATTGAAATAGTATGCAATGGAATCAAATGGAATGGAATAGAATGGAATGGACCAGAATGGAACGGACTGGAATAGAACGGACTTGAATGTAATGGATTGAAATGTAATTGATTTGAATGGAATGGAATTGAATGCAATGTAATCAAATGGAATGGAATAGAATTCAATGGAATGGAATAGAATGGAATGCAATGAAATGGAACCGAGTGGAATCGAGTGGAATGGAATCGAATGGGATGGAATCGAATGGAAAGGAATGAAATGAAATGGACTGGAATGGAATGGACTCGAATGGAATGGACTGGTACAAAATGGTATCGAACTGATTAAAATCAAACGGAACAGAATGGAATGGAATGGAGTTGAACGGAATGGAATTGAATGGAATGGAATTGAAAGTAAATGAAAGGAATAGAACGGAATTGAGTGAAATGGAAAGATATTGAATGGCATGGAATGGAATTGAATGGACTCAAATTGAATGGACTATAATGGAATGGACTCGAATGGAATGGAATGGAGTGGAATGGACTCGAATGGAATGGAAATCAATGGAATGGAATCGAATCGAATGGAAAGCAATGGAATGGAATGGAGTCGAATGGTAAAGAATTGAATGTAATGGCGTCAAATGGAACGGAATGGACTCAAATGGAATGGACTCGAATTGAATAGAATCAAATGGAATGGCATTTAATGGAATGGAATGGAATGGAACCAAATGTAATGGACTCAAGTGGAATGGACTCAAATGGAATGGACACGAAGGGAATGGTCTCGAATGGAATATATGCAAATAGAACGGAATCAAATGGAACGCAATACTTTGGAATGGAATGGACCGGAATGGAATGGACTGGAATAGAACGGACTCTAATATATTGGACTGCAATCTAATTGACTCAAATGGAATGGAATCAAATGGAATGTAATCAAATGGAATTTAATGTAATACAATGGAATGGAATAGAATGGAATGCAATGGAATGGAACGGAGTGGAATCGAGTGGAATGGAAGCAAACGGAATGGAATCGAATGGAATTGACTGGAATGGAATGGAATCGAATGGAAAGGATTGGAACAAAATAGAGTCAAACGGATTGGAATCGAACGGAAATGAATGGAAAGGAATGGAATACAATGGACTCGAATGGAATGGAGTCGAATGGAATGGAATCCAATGGAATGGAATCAAATAAAATGGAAGTGAATGGCATCGAATGGAATAGAATGGAATGGAGTGTAATGGAAAGATATCAAATGGAATGGAATGGAATGGAATGGAATGGAATGGACTCGAAGCGAATGTACTGGAATGGAATGGACTCGAATGGAATGGACTGGCGTGGAATGGACTCGAATGGAATGGAAACAAAAGGAAAGGAATGGAATGGAAAGGAATGGAATGGGAAGGAATAGAATGGAATGAAATTGGATGGAATGGAATGGAAAGGGGTGAAAAGGAATAAAATTCAAAGGAATGGCATCGAATGCAATGGCATCGAATGGAATGGAATGGAATGGCATGGACTCGAATCTAATGGATTCGAATGGAATGGAATGGAAAGGAATGGAATGGAATGGAATGGACCCAAATGCAATGGACTCGAATGGAATGGTCTCAAATAGAATGGACTCAAAAGCAATGGTCTCGAATGGTATTTATACGAATAGAATGGAATCAAATGGAATGCAATAGAATGAAATGGAATCGAATGGAATGGAATCGAATTGAATGGAACGGAATGGAATTGACTGGAATAGAATGGACTCGAATGTAAAAGATTGGAATGTAATTGATTCGAATGGAATGGAATCGAATGCAATGTAAACAAATGGAATTGAATGGAATGCATTGGAATGGAATAGAATGGAATGCAATTGAATGGAACAGAGTGGAATTGAGTGGAATGGAATCGAATGGAATAGAATCGAATGTAATGGACTGGAATGGAATGGAGACGAATGGAATGCAATCTAATGGAATGCAATCTAATAGAAAGGAATTGAATGCATTCAAAAGGAATAGAATGGAATGGAGTGTAATGGAAAGATATCGAATGGAATGGAATGGAATGGAATGGACTCAAACGTAATGGATTGGAATGGAATGGACTCGAATGGAATAGACTGCAGTGGAATGGACGGAAATGGAATGTAAACGAATGGAATGGAATGGAATTGAAAGGAATACAATATAATGGAATTGGATGGAACAGAATGGAATTGAATGGAGTCGAATGGAATAGAATATAATGGAATGACATAGAATGGAACGGAAACTAATGGAATGGAATGGACTCGAATGGAATGGACTCGAATGGAATAGAATAGAATGGAATGGTATCGAATGGAATGGAATTGACCCAAATGAAATGGACTCGAATGGAATGGAATCAAATAGAATGGACTTGAAAGCAATGGCCTCGAATGGAATTTATTCAAATAGAATGGAATCGAATGGAATGCCATAGTATGGAATGGAATTGAATGGAATATACCGCAATGGAATGCACTGGAATAGAAAGGACACTGGAATAGAAAGGACTCGAATGTAATGGATTCCAATGTATTTGATTCAAATGGAATGGAATCGAAAGTAATGTAATCAAATGGAATGTAATGGAATGCAATTGAATGGAATAGAAAGGAATGCAATGGAATGGAACGGAGTGGAATAGAGTGGAATGGAATCGAAAGGAATGGAATCGAATGGAATGGACTGGAATGGAGTGGACTCGAATGGAATGGACTGGAAAAAAATGGAATCGAACGGATTGGAATGGAATGGAATGGAATGGAATAGAATGGACTCGAATGGAATGGAGTTGAATGGAATGGATTCAAATGGAATGGAATCCAATGGAATGGAATTGAATGTAATCGAAAGGAGTAGAATGGAATGGACAGTAAAGGAAAGATATCAAATGGAATGGAAAGGACACGAATGGAATAGATTGGAATGGAATGGACTAGAATGGAATGGACTTGAGAGGCATGGATACGAATGGATTGCAATGGAACGGAATGGACTGGAACAGAACGGACTCCAATTTAATGGATTGCAATATAATTTGTTTGAATGGAATGGAATCAAATGGAATGTAATCAAATGGAATCGAACGGTATGCAATGGAATGGAATAGAATGGAATGCAATGGAATGGAACGGAGTGGAATTGAGTGGAATGGAATTTAATGGAATGGAATCAAATTGAATGTACTGGAACGGAATGGACTCAAATGGAATGGACAGGAAAAAAATGGAATCGAATGGATTGGAATTGAATGGAACGGAATGAAATGGAATGGAATGGACTCGAATGGAATGGAGATGAATGGAATGGAGATGAATGGAATGGAAACGAATGGAATGGAATTGAATAGAATGGAATTGAATGGAATCGAAAGGAATAGAAAGGAATGGAGTGTAATGGAAAGAATTGAATGGAATGTAATACAATGGAATGGAGTGTAATGGAAAGATATCGATTGGAATGGAATGGACCCGAATGGAATGGACTGGAATGGAATGGATTCGAATGGACTTTACTGGAGTGGAATGGACACGAATGGAATGGAATGGGATGGAATAGAATGGAATGGAATCGGATGGAGTGGAATGGAATGGAATGGAGTCAAATGGAGTAGAATAGAATGGAATGGCATTGAATGGAATGGAATGGAATGGAAAGGAATGGACTCGAATGGAATAGAACAGAATGGAAAGGCTTCGAATGGAAAGGAATGGAATGGAATGGAATGGAATGGACCCAAATGTAATGGACACGAATGGAATGGGTTCAAATACAATGGACTCAAAAGGAATAGTCTCGAATGAATTTATTCCATTTGAATGTAATTGAATGGAATGCAACTGTATGGAATGGAATCGAAGGGAATGGAATTGAATGGAATGGACCGGACTGGAATGGACTGGAATAGAACTAACACAAATGTAATGGATTTCAATGTAATTGATATGAATGGAATGGAATCGGTTGGAATGTAGTCAAATGGAATGGAATGTAACGCTATGGAATGGAATAGAATGGAATGCAATCAAATGGAACGGAGTGGAATCGAGTTGAATGGAATCGAATGAAATGGAATCCACTGGAATGGAATCGAATGTAATGGACCCCATTGGAATGGAATGGAAAAAATGGAATCATATAGATTGGAATCGAACAGAACGGAATGGAATGGAATGGAATCGAATCGAATGGAATGGAGTCGAATGGAATAGAATTGAATGGAATGGCTTTGAATGGAGTGGAACAGAATGGAATGGACACGAATGGACTGGATTCGAATGGAATAGAATGGAATGGAATTGAATGCAATGGACCTAAATGTAATGGAATCGATTGGAA
Organism: Homo sapiens; assembly: GCF_000001405.40. NCBI lineage: Eukaryota > Metazoa > Chordata > Mammalia > Primates > Hominidae > Homo > Homo sapiens. Next base: position 76,367 of record NT_187385.1, read on the forward strand.
TGGACTCAAATAGAACGGATTTTAAAGGAATGGTCTCGAATGGAACTTATTCGAATAGAAAGGAATGGAATGGAATGCAATAGTATGGAATGGAATCGAATGGAATGGACCAGAATGGAATGGACTGGAATAGAAAGGACTCGAATGTAATGGATTGCAATGTAATTGATTCAAATGGAATGGAATCGAATGGAATGGAATCGAATTTAATGGACTGGAATGGAAATGACTGGAACAGAACGGACACGAATGGAATGGATTGCAATGTAATTTACTCGAATGGAATGGAATCCAATGGAATGTAATACAATGGAATAGAAGGGAAGGCAATGGAATGGAATAGAATGGAATGCAATGGAATGGAACGGAGGGGAATTGAGTGGAATGGAATCGAATGAAATGGAATCAAATGGAATGGAATCCAATGGAATTGACTGTAATGGAGTGGAATCAAATGGAATGGACTGGAATAAAATGGAATCGAATGGATTGGAATCAAATGGAATGGAATGGAATGGACTCGAACAGAATGGAGTCGAATGAAATGGAATCAAAAGGAATGCAATCAAATGGAATGGAAATGAAAGGAAACGAAAGGAATAGACTGGAATGGGGTGTAATGGAAATGTATGGAATGGAATGGAATGGAATGGACTCGAATGGAATGGACTGGAATGGAAAGGACTCGAATGGAATGGACTGGAGTAGAATTGACTCGAATGGAATGGAAAAGAATGGAATGCAATGGAATGGAATGGAAAGGAATGGAATGGAATGGAATAGAATGGAACGGATTCGGATTTAACAGAATGGAAGGGAATGGAGTCGAATGGAATAGAATTGAATGTAATGAATTCGAATGGAATGCAATGGAATGGACTCAAATGGAATGGAATCTAATGGAATGAAAATGAATGGAATGGAACAGAATGGAATTCAATGGAATGGACCCAAATATAATGGATTCGAATGTAATGGACTTTAATGGAATGGACTCGAAAGCCATGATCTCGAATGGAATTCATTCGAATAGAATGGAATCTAATGTAATGCAACAGTATTGAATGGAATCAAATGGAACTGGATCGAATGGAATGGACTGGAATGGAATGGACTGAAATAGAAGGGACTCGAATACAATGGATTTCAATGTAATTGATTCAAACGGAATGGAATCAAATGAGGTGTAATCAAATAGAATGGAATGGAATGCAATGGAATGAAATAGATTGGAATGCACTGAAATGGAACAGAGTGGAATAGAGTGGAATGGAATAGAAGGGAATGGAATTGAATGGAATGGAATCAAATGGAATGGAATCAAATGGAATGGAATCGAAAGGAATGGACTGGAACAAAATGGAATGGAATTGATTGGAATCTAACGAAATGGAATGTAATGGAATGGAATTTAATGGACTCGAAAGGAATGGAGTCAAATGGAATGGAATCAAATTGAATGGAATAGAATGGCATGGAATTGAATGGAATCGCAAGGAATAGAATGGAATGGAGTGTAATGGAAATATACAGAATGGAATGGAATGGAATGGAATGGAATGGACAGGAAGGAAATGGAATTGAATGGAAAAGACTGGAGTGGAATGGACTCTAATGGATTGGAAAAGAATGGAATGGAATGGAATAGAATGGAATGGAATGGAAAGAACAGAATGGAATGGAATCGGATGGAATGGAATGGAATAGAATGGAGTCTAATGGAATAGAATCGAATGGAATGGCATTGAATGGAATGAAATGCAATGGAATGGAATGGAATCGAATGGAATTTATTCGAATGGAATAGAATTGAATGGAATGTCATTGAATGGAATGGAATGAAATGAAATGCAATGGAGTGGAAAGGACCCAAATGTAATATACTCAAATGGAATGGACTCAAATAGAATGCACACGAAAGCAATGGTCTCGATTGGAATTTATTAGAATACAATGGAATCGAATAGAATGCAATAGTATGGAATGGAATTGAATGGAATGGAATCGAATGGATTGGACTGGAATGGAATGGACTGAAATAGAGTGAACTCAAATGTAATGGATTGCAATGTAATTGATTTGAATGGAATGGAATCGTATGGAATATTATCAAATGGAATGGAATGGAATGCAATGGAATGGAATAGAATGGAATGCAATGGAATGGAACGGAGTGGAATCGAGTGGAATGGAATCGAATGGAATGGACTTTAATTGAATGGACTCGAATGGAGTGGACTGGAACAAAATAGAATCGAATGGATTGGTATCGAACAGAATGGAATGGAATGGAATGGAATGGACTCGAATGGAAGGGGGTCAAATGGAATGGAATCGAATGGAATGGAATTGAATGAAATCAAAAGGAATAGAATGGAATGGAGTTTAATGGAAAGATATCGATTGCAATGGTATGGAAAGGAATGGACTCGAATGGAATGGACTGGAATCGAATGGAATCGAATGGAATGGACTAGAATTGAATGGAAACGAATGGAATTGAATGGAATTGAATGCATTGGAATAGAATGGAATGGAGTCAGATGGAATGGAATGGAATGGAATTCAGTGGAATGGAATGGAATGGAATGGACCCAAATGCAATAGATTCGAATGGAATGGCATCGAATGGAATGGAATGGAATGGAATGGAATGGGATGGAATGGAATGGAATGGAATGGAATGGACCCAAATGCAATGGACTCAAATGGCATGGACTCAAATAGAATGGACTTGAAAGCAATGGTCTCGAATGTTATTGACTCGAATAGAATGGATTCGAATGGAATGCTATAGTATGGAATGGAATCGAATGGAATGGAATTGAATGGAATGGACCAGAATGCAATGGACTGTAATAGAATGGATTCGAATGTAATGAATTACAATGTAATTGAGTCGAATGGAATGGAATCACTTGGAATGGAATCAAACTGAATGGAATGGAATGCAATGGAATAGAATAGATTGGAATGCAATAGAATGGAATGGAGTGGAATTGATTTAAATGGAATCGAATGGAATGGAATCCAATGTAATGGACTGGAATGAAATGGACTCGAATGGAATGGACTGGATAAAAATGGAATCCAACGGATTGGAATCGAACGGAATGGAATGGAATGGAATGGCATGGAATGAAATGGACTCAGGTGGAATGAAGTCGAATGGAATGGAATCAAATGGAATGCAATCGAATAGAATGGAATTGAATTTAAATGAAAGAAAGAGAATGGAATGGAGTATAATGGAAAGACATCGAATGGAATGGAATGGAATGGAGTGGACACGAATGGAATGGACTGGAATGGAAACACTTGAATTGAATGGACTGGAGAGGAATGGACTCGAAAGAAATGGAATGGAATGGAATGGAATGGAGACGAAGGGAATAGAATCGAATGGAATGGCAATGAATGGAGTGGAATGGAAAGGAGTGGATTCTAACGGAATGTACTAGAATTTAATAGAATCGAATGGAGTGGCATCGAATGGAATGGAATGGAATGGAATGGACTGAAATGGAATGGACTGGAATGGAATGGACTCAAATAAAATGGACTGGAAAGGAATTGTCTCGAAAGGAATTTATTCGAATAGAATGGAATCGAATGGAATGCAATAGTATGGAATGGAATCGAATGGAAAGAAATCAAATGGACTGGACCGGAACGGAATGGAGTGGAAGAGAAGGGACTCGAATGTAATGCATTGCAATGTAATTGAATCGAATGGAATGGAATAGAATGGAATGGAATCAAATGGAATGGAATGGAAAGCAATGGAATGGAATTGAATGGAATGCAAAGGAATGGAACGGAGTGGAATCGAGTGGATTGGAATCGAATGGAATGGAATTGAATGGAATGGAATCAAATGGTATGGATTGGAATGGAATGGACTCGAATGGATTGGACTTGAAAAAAATGGAATGGAACAGATTGGAATCAAACGGAACAGAATAAAATGGAATGGAATCAAATGGTATGGATTGGAATGGAGTGGACTCGAATGGATTGGACTTGAAAAAAATGGAATCGAACGGATTGGAATCAAACGGAACAGAATAAAATGGAATGGAATGGAGTCGAATGGAATGGAATCAGATGGAATGGAATCGAATGAAATGGAATTGAAAGGATTGGAAAGGAATAGAATGGAATTGAGTGTAATGGAAAGATATCGAATGGAATGGAATGGAATGGAATGGAGTCGAATAGAATGGACTGGAATGGAATGGACTTAGAATGGAATGTAATGGAATGGAGTGTAGTGGATTGGAGTGGTGTGGAGTGGAATGGAATGGAGTGGTATGGATTGTTATGGAATGGAATGGTGAAATGAAATATGAGTTGAGATTGTGCACTGCACTCCAGCCTGCGTGACAGAGTGAGATCTTGTCGAAAGAAAGGAATGGAATAGAATGGACTTAGAATGGAATGGAATGGAATGGAATGGAATAGAAATGGAATGGAATGGAATGGAATGGAATAGGTGTAGTGGAGTGGAATGGAATGGAGTGGTATGGATTGTTATGGAATGGAATGGAATGGAGTGGAGTGGAGTGGGGTGGAATGGAGTTTAGTGGAATGAAGTGGAATGGAATGGGATCGAATGGAACAGTGTGGAGTGGAGTGGAAAGGTGTAGAATGAAATGGAATGGAATGGAGTTGAATGGAGTGGAGTGGAGTTGATTGGATTGGAATGGAGTGGAGTAGAATGGAGTGGAGTGGAATGGAGTGGAGTGGGGTGGAGTGGAGTAGAATGGAATGGAATGGAATGAATGGAATGGAATTCAAAGGAATGGAATGGAATGGATTGGAATGGAATGGAATGGAAAGGTGTAATGAAATGTGAGCTGAGATTATGCACTGCACTCCAGCCTTGGTGACAGAGTGAGTTCCTGTTGGAAGAAAGGAATGGAATGGAATGGATTTTCAATGGAATGTAATGGAATGCAGTGGATTGTAGTGCGGTGGAGTGGAATGGAGTAGAATGGAGTGGAATAGAGTGGAATGGAATGGGATGGAATGGATTGGAGTGTAGTGGCCTGGAGTGGAAAGTTGTAGAATGGAATGGAATGGAATATAGTGGAGTGGAGTGTAGGGGTGTTGATTGCAGTGGAAGGGAATGGAGTGGAATGGAGTTGAGTGGAGTGGAAAGGAGCAGAGTCGAGTGGAGTGGAGGGGAGTGAAGTGGAATGGAATGGAACGGAGTGGAGTAGAATGACTGGAGTGCAGTGGAATTGACTGGAGTGGAATGGAATGGACTGGAGTGGAATGGAATGGAGTGCAGTAGAGTGGAGTGGAATGGAGTGCAGTGGAGTGGATTGGAGTGGACTGGAGTGGTGTGGAATGGAGTAGAATGTAATGGGATGGAATGGAATTCAATGGAGTGGAGTGGAGGGGAATGGAGGGCAGTGGAATGGAATGTGAAGGAATGGAATTGAACAGAGTGGAGTGGAGTGGAATGGAATGCAATGGAATGCAATGGAGTGTAATGGAATGGAATGGAATGCAATGGAATGGAATGGTGAAATGAAATGTGAGCTGAGATTGTGCACTGCACTCCAGCCTGGGTGAGAGGGTGAGATCCTGTCAAAAGAAAGGAATGGAATGGAATGGAATGGAATGGATTTAGAATGGAATAAAATGGAATGGAATGGAATGGAGTGGAGTGGAGTGGAATGGAATGGAATCGAATAGAATCAAATCGAATCCAATCTAATCTAATTAAATCGAATCGAATAGAATTAAATCAAATGGAATTGAATGGAATTGAACAGAATCAAATGGAAAAAATGGAATGGAACGGAATCGAATTGAATCGAACTGAATGGAATAGAATGGCATTGAAGGGAATCGAATGGAATTCTATAAAGTAGAAAGCAGTGGACAGGAATGGAGTGGAATGGAATGGGGAGGAATTGAATTGAATGGAGGGGAGTGGAGTGGAATGGAGTGGAACGGAATGGAATGGGAAGGAATGGAATTGAACCAAGTGGAGTGGCGTGGAGTGAAATGGAATGCAATGGAATGGAATGGAATGGAATGGTGAAATGAAATGTGAGCTGAGACTGTGCACTGCACTCCAGCTTGGGTGACAGAGTGAAATCCTGTTGAAAGAAATGAATGGAATGGAATGGATTTAGAATGGAATGGAATGGAATGGAGTGGAGTGGATTGGAGTGGCGTGGAGTGGAGTGGAACGGAGTGGTTTGGATTGTTATGGAATGGAATGGAATGGAGTTGAGTGGAGTGCAGTGGGGTGGAGTGGAATTGAGTGGAGTGGAGTAGAAAGGTGCAGAATGGAATGGAGTGGAATGGAGCAGAGGGGAGGGGAGTGGAGTTGAGTGGAGTGGAATGGAATGGAGTGGAGTGGAATGGAGTGGAGGGCTGTAGAATGGAATGGAGTGGAGCAGAGTGGAGTGAAGTGGAGTGGAATGGACTGCAGTGGATTCGAATTGACTGGAGTGGAATGGAATGGACGTGAGTGGAATGGAATGGATTGAAGTGGAATGCAGTGGAATGGAGTGAAGTGGAGTGGTATGGAGTGGAATGGAATGGAATGGATTGGAATGGAATGGAATGGAATGGAATGTATTGGTATGGAATGGAGTGGAATGGAATGGAACGGAATGCAATGGAATGGATTGGAATGGAATGGCATGGAATGCAAGGGAAACGAATGGATTGGAATCAAATGGAAACGAATGGAATTGAGTGGAATGAAATCGAATGGAATGGAATCAAATGACATCGAATGGAATTGAAACGAATGTGGTGAACTGGAGAGGAGTGTCATGGAATGTGGTGGAATGGACTGGGGTGGAATGGAATTGAATGGAGTGGACTGGAGTGGAGTGGAATGTAATGCGATAGAATGGAATGGAATGGAAAGGTGAAATAAAATGTGAGTTGAGATTGTGCACTAACTCCAGCCAGGGTGAAAGAGTGAGATCCTGTCGAAAGAAAGGAAGAGAATGGAATAGATTTAGAATGGAATGGAATGGAGTGGCGTGAATTGGATTGGAGTGGAGTGGAGTGGAATTGTGTGGAATGGAATTGAGTGGAGTGGAATGGAATGGAATGAAATGGAGTGGAATGGAGTGGAATCGTTTGGAGTGGAATGGAATGGAATGGGGTGGAGTGGAATGGAGTGGAATGCAGTGGAATGGAGTGGAATGGAATGGAGTGGGGTGGAATGGAGTGGCGTGGAATGCAATGGAGTGGAATGGAATGGAATGGAATGAAATGGAAAGGAATGGAACGCACTGGAGTGGAATGGAACTGACTGGAATGGAATGGAATCGAATCGAATCAAATCTACTCAAATCAAGTCAAATCGAATCAAATGGAATAGAATGGAATTGAATGGAATCAAATAGAACAAATGGAATCAAAATGAATCGAATGGAACCGAATCGAATGGAATCGAATGGCATGGAATAGAATCAAAAGCAATGCGGTGAAAAGGAGTGGAGTGGAGTGGAAAGGATTGGAATGAAATGGGGTGCAATGGAATTGAATGGAGTGGAGTGCAGTGCAGTGGAATTGAGTGTAGTGGAATGGAATGGGAACGAATGGAATTGAATGGAGTGGAGTAGAATTGAGTGGAGTGGAATGAAATGAAATGGAATGGAATCGAATAGAATGGAATGGAATGGAATGGAATGGAATGGAATGGAATGGAATGGAATTGAAAGGAATCGAATGGAATCAAATGGTTTCGAATCAAATTGAAACAAATCAAATCAAATGGAATCGAGTGGAATTGAATGGAATAGAATGAAATCAAATGGAAAAAATGAAACTGAATGGAATCGAATGGAGTCGAATTGAATGGAATCGAGTGGCATCGAACAGAATCAAATGAAATGCGATGAAATGTACTGGAGTGGAATGGAATGGAGTGGAATGGAATAGGGTGGAATGGAATTGAATGGAGCGGACAGGAGTGGAATGCATTGGAATGGAACGGAATGGGAAGGAATGGATTTGAACGGAGTGGAGTGGAGTTGAGTGGAGTGGAGTGGCATGGAATGGAATGGAATGGAATGGAATGGAATGGAATGGAATTTAATGGAATGGAATGGTGAAATGAAAGGTGAGCTGAGATTGTGCACTGCACTCCAGCCTGGGTGACAGAGTGAGATCCTTTTGAAAGAAAGGAATGGAATGGAATCGAATGAAATCAAATGGATGTAATAGAATTGAATGGAAAGCAATCGAATAGCATCGAATGGAATCGAATGGAATGCGGTGAAGTGGAGTGGAGTGGAATGGAGTGGAATGGAATGGGGTGGAATGGAATTGAATGGAGCAGAGTGGAGTGGGGTGGAATGGAGTGGAGTGGAATGAAAAGGGAAGGAATGGAATTGAACAGAGTGGAGTAGAGTGGAGTGGAATGGAATGAAACGGAATGGAATGGAATGGAATGGTAAAATGTGAGCTGAGACGGTGCACTGCACTCCAGCCTGAGTGACAGAGTGAGATCCTTTTGAAACAAAGGAAAGGAATGGAATGGATTTAGAATGGAATGTAATGGAATGGATTCAGAATGGAATAGAATGGAAAGGAGTGGATTGGAGTGGAGTGGAGTGGAGTGGAGTGGAGTGGAATGGAGTGGAATGGAATGGAGTGAAGTGGAATGGAATGGACTGGAATGGAGTGCAATGGAGTGGAGTGGAATGGAAGGGAATGAAGTGGAGTGGAGTGCAGTGGAATGGGGTGGAGTGGAGTGGAATAGAATGGAATGGAATGGAGTGGAATGGAATTGAATGGAATGCAGTGGAATGTAGTGGAGTGGAGTGGAATGGAGTGGAGTGGAATGGAGTATAATGGAGTGAAGTGGAGTGGAGTGGAGTGGAGTGGAGTGGAGTAGAATGAAGTGACGTGGAATGAAGTGGAATGGAATGGATTGGAATGGAATGGATTGGAATCAAATGGAATGGAATGGAACCGAATGGAATGGAATCGAATGAAATCAAATGGAATGGAATACAATCGAATGGAATGGAATCGAATGGCATCAAATGGAATGGAATACAATAGAATGGAATGGAATCGAATGGCATCGAATGGAATCGAATGGAATGCAGTGAAGTGGAGTGGAGAGGAGTGGAATGGAGGGGAATGGAATGGGGTGGAATGGAATTGAATGGAGCAGAGTGGAGTGGGGTGGAATGGAGTGGAGTGGAATGGAATGGGAAGGAATGGAATTGAACGGAGTGGAGTGCAGTGAAGGGGAGTGGAATGGAATACTATGGAATGGAATGGAATGGAATGGAATGGAGTGGAATGGAATGGAATGGAATGGAATGGTGAAATCAAATGTGAGCTGAGATTGTGCACTGCACTCCAGCCTGAGTGACAGAGTGAGATCCTTTCAAAAGAAAGGAACATAATGGAATGGATTTAGAAAGGAATGTAATGGAATGGATTTAGAATGGAATGGAATGGAATAGTGTGGATTGGAGTGGAGTGGAATTCAGCGGAGTTGAATGGAGTGGAATGGAATGGAGTGGAGTGGAATGGAATGGAATGGAGTGCAATGGAGTGGAATGGAATGGAGTGGAGTGGAGTGGAATGAAATGGAGTGGAAAATAATGGAATGGAGTGGAATGGAATTGAATGGAATGGAGTGGAGTAGAGTGTAATGGAGTGGAGTGGAATGGAGTGGATTAGAGTGTAATGGAGTGGAGTGGAGTGGAGTGGAATGGAGTAGAGTGGAATGGAGTGGAATGTAATGGAAGGGAATGGAATGGAATGGAATCGAATGAAACAGAATTCAATGGAATGGAATGGAACAGAATGGAATGGAATGGAATGGCATCGAATGGATTCGAATGAAATGTGGTGAAGTGGAGTGGAGTGGAGTGGAATGGAGTCAAAAAAATGGGGTGGAATGGAATTGAATGAAGTAGAGTGCAGTGGAGTGGAATGGAGTGGAGTGGAATTGACTGGGAAGGAATGGAATTGAACAGAGTGGGGTTGAGTGGAGTGGAATGGAATGCAACGGAATGGGATGGAATGGTGAAATGAAATGTGAGCTCAGATTGTGCACTGCACTCCAACATGGGTGACACAGTGAGATCCTGTCAAAAGAAAGGAATGGAATAGAATGGATTTACAATGGAATGTAATGGAATGGAGTGGAGTGGAGTGGCATGGAGTGGAATGGAGTGGTTTGGATAGTTATACAATGGAATGGAATGGAGTGGAGTGGAGTAGTGTGGAGTGTAGTGGAATCGAGTGGAATGGAATGGGATGGAATGGAAGAGAGTAGAGTGGAGTTGAGTGGAGTGGAAAGGTGTAGAAAGAAATGGAATGCAATGGAGAGGAGTGGAGTGGAGGGCAGTTGAGTGGAGTGGATTGGAGTGCAGTTAAATGAAGTGAAATGGAGTGGAGTGGAGTGGAGTCGAGTGGAAAGGTGTAGAATGGAATGGAATGGAAAAGAGAGGAATGGAGTGGAGTGGAATGGAGTAGACTGTAGTGGAGTGGAATTGAGTGGAATGGAATAGAATGAAATGGAAGGGAATGTAATGTAATGTAATGGAATGGAATGGAATGCAATGGAATTGAATCGAAGGGAATGGAATGGAATCGAATAGAATGGAATCGAACGGAATTGAGTGGATTCAAATGCATTGGAATGGAAATGAATGGAATGGAATCGAATGGAATGCGGTGAAATGGAGTGGAGTGGAGTTGAATGGAGTGGAATGAAAAGGGATAGAATGGAAATGAATGGAGTGGAGTGGAGTAGAATGGAGTGGAGTGGAATGGAATGGGAAGGAATGGAATTGAATGGAGGGGAGTGGAGTGGAGTGGAATGAAATGCAATGGAACAGAATCGAATGGAATGGTGAAAGGAAATGTGAAATGAGATTGCACACTGCACTCCAGCCTGGGTGAGACAGTGAGATCCTGTCGAAAGAAAGGAAAGGAATAGAATGGATTTAGAATGGAATATAATGGAATGGATTTAGAATGGAATATAATGGAATGGATTTAGAATGGAATGTAACGGAATGGAGTGCAGTGGAGTGGAGTGGAATGGACGACTGGAGTGGAGTGGAACGGAATGGGATGAGTTGTTACGGAATGGAATGCAATGGAGTGGAATGGAGTGCTGTGGGGTGGAATGGAGTGGAGTGGAATGGAATGGGATGGAATGGAATGGAGAGGAGTGGAGTGGAGTGGAAATATGTAGAATGGAATGGAATGGAGTGGAGTGGAATTGAGTGGAGTGGAGTGGAGTGGAGTAGAGTGGAGTGGAGTGGAGTGGAGTGGAATGAATTGGAATGAAAGGGAGTGGAGTGGAGTGGAGTGGAATGGAGTGGAGTGGATTGGAATGAAAGGGAGTGGAGTGGAGTGGAGTGGAGTGGAATGGAATGGACTGCAATGGATTGGAATGGAAAGGAATTGAATGCAATGGAATGGAATGGCATGGAATGGTGAAATGAAATGTGAGCTGAGATTGTGCACTGCACTCCAGCCTGGGTGAGAGAGTGAGATCCTGTCGAAAGAAAGGAATGAAATGGAATGCATTTAGAAAGAATGGAATGGAATGGAATGGAATGGAGTGAAATGGAGTGGAGTGGAATGGAGTGGAGTGGAGTGGAATGGAATGGAATTGAATGGAATCGAATCGAATTTACTGGAATCAAGTTGAATGGAATCGAATGGAATGGAATTGAATCGAATCGAATTGAGTGGAATTGAGTCGAATGGAATCGAATGGAATGAAATGGAATCGAATGGAAAAAATGGATTCAAATGAAATTGAATCAAATGGAATCGAATGGCATCAAATGGAATCGAACGGAATGTGGTTAAGTGAAATGGAGTGGAATGGAATGGAGTGTAATGGAATGCAGTGGAATGGAATTCAATGGAGTGGAGTGGAGTGGAATGGAATCGAATGGAATGGAATGGGAAGGAATGGAATTGACCGGAGTGGAGTGGAGTAGAGTGGAATGCAATGCAATGCAATGGAATCGAATGGAATGGAATGGAATGGTGAAATGAAATGTGAGCTGAGATTGTGCACTTCAGTGCAGCCTGGGTGATAGAGTGAGATCCTGTCAAAAGAAAGGAATGGAATGGAATGGATTTAGAATGGAATGGAGTGGCGTGGAGTGGAGTGGAGTGCAGTGCTATGGAGTGGTATGGATTGTTATGGAATAGAATGGAGTGGAGTGGGGTGGAATGGAGAGGACTGGAATGGAGTGGAATGGAATGGGATGGAATGGAATGGAGTGGAGTGGATAGGAAATGTGTAGAATGGAAT
>NT_187385.1:90504-91791 GCF_000001405.40 Homo sapiens
GGAATGGAGTGGTATGGATTTTTATGGAATGGAATGGAATGCAGTGGACTGGAGTGGGGTGTAGTGCAGTGGAATGGAGTTGAACGGAATGTAATGGAGTGGAGTGGAGTGGAATGGTGTAGAATGGAGTGGAATGGAGTGGAGTAGAGTGGTTGGAGTTGAGTGGAGTGGATTGGAGTGCAGTGGAATCAGTGGAATGGAGTTGAATGGAGTGGAGTGGAATGGAGTGGAGTGGAGTGGAGTGGAATGGAATGGAGAGGAATGGAATGTAATCAAATGGAATGGAACGGAATCAAATTGAATCAAATCAAATAGAATGGCATCGAATGGAAACGATTGAAATGCAGTGAAGTGGAGTGGAGTGGAAAGGTGTAGAATGGAATGGAGTGGAGAGAAGTGGAGTGGAATTTAGTGGAGTGGATTGGAGTGCAGTGGAATGGAGTGGAGTGTATTGCAGTAGAGTGGAGTGGAGTGGAATGGAATAGAATGAAACGGGATGGAGTGAAATGGAATGGAAGGCAATGGAATGGAATGGAATGGAATGGAATGGAATGGAATCGAATGGAATGGAATCGAATGGAATGGAATCGAATGGAATTGAATGGAGTCGAATGCAATGGAATGGAAATGAATGGAATGGAATCGAATGGAATGTGGTGAAATGGAGTGGAGTGGATTTGAATGGAGTGGAATGAAAAGGGGTGGAATAGAAATGAATGGAGTGGAGTAGAGTGGAATGGAGTGGAGTGGAATGGAATAGGAAGGAATGGAATTGAACGGAGTGGAGTGGCGTGGAGTGGAGTGGAATGAAATGCAATGGAATGGAATCAAATGGAATGCTGAAATGAAATGTGAGCTGAGATTGCGCACTGAACTCCAGCCTGGGTGACAGAGTGAGATTCTGTCGAAAGAAAGGAAGGGAATGGAATGGATTTAGAATGGAATATAATGGATTGGATTTAAAATGGAAGGTAATGGAATGGAGAAGACTGGAGTGGAGTGGAGTGGAATGGAGTAGAGTGGAACGGATTGGAATGGAATGGAATGGAGTGAAAAGAAGTGAAATGGAGTGGGGTGGAATGGCATAGAATGCAGTTGAGCGGAGTGGAGTGAAATGGAGTGGAGTGGAGAGGAATGGAATTGAGTGGAATGGAATGGAATGGAGTGGAATGCAATATAATGAAAGGGAATGGAATGGAGTGGAGTGGAGTGGAATGGAGTGGAGTGGAGTGGAATGGAATGGAATGGATTGGAATCAAATGGAATGGATTGGAATCAAAGGAATGG
>NT_187385.1:91816-93477 GCF_000001405.40 Homo sapiens
ATGGAGTGGAATGGAGAAGAGTGGAGTGGAGTGGAATCGAGCAGAGTGGAGTGAAGTGAAGTGGAGTGGAATGGAATGGAGTGGAGTGGAATGGAATGGAGTGGAATGGAATGGACTGGAGATGAATGGTATGGAGTGGAATGGAATGGAATGGAGTGCAGTAGAGTGCAGTGGAGTAGAGTGGAGTGGAGTGGAATGAAGTGGAAAGGACTGCAGTGTAGTGGAATGGAGTGGAATGGAATGGAATGGATTGGAGTGGAGTGGCATGGAGTGCAGTGCAATGGAGTGGAGTGGAATGGAATGGAACGGAATGAAATGGAATGGAATTGAAGGGAATCAAGTGGAATGGAATGGAATGCGATGAAATGGTGTGGAGAGGAGTGGAATGGAACGGGGTGGAATAGAATCCAATGGAGTGGAGTGCAGTTTAGTGGCATGGAGTGGAGTGGAATGGAATGGGAAGGAAAGTAATTGAACAGAGTGGAGTTTAGTGGAGTGAAGTGGAATGCAGTGGAATGGAATGGTGAATTGAAATGTGAGCTGAGATTGTGCAGTGCACTCCAGCCTGGGTGACCTAGTGAGATCCTGTCAAAAGAAACGAATGGAATGGAACAGATGTAAAATGGAATGTAATGGAATCGACTGGAGTGGAGTGGAGTTGCGTGGAGTGGAGTGGAGTGCAGTGGAATGGAGTGGTATGGATTCTTATGGAATGGAATGGAATGGAATGGAATGGAGTGGAGTGGGGTGAAGTGGAGTGAAGTGTAATGGAGTGTAATGGAATGGGATGGAATGGAATGGAGTGGAGTGGGGTGGAGTGGAAAGGTGTAGAATGGAATGGAGTATAGTGGAGCGGAGTGGAGTCAAGGGTAGTTGGGTGCAGTGGAATGGAAGGGAGTGGAGTGGAGTGGAATGGAGTGGAGTGGAGTGCAGTGAAGTGCAGTGGAGTGGAATGGAATGGAGTGGAGTGGAATGGAAAGGAGTGGAGTGGAATGGGCTGCCATTTAGTGGAATGGACTGGAATGGAATGGAATGCACTGGGTTGGAATGGTATGGAGTGGAGTGGAATGGAATGGAGTGCAGTGGAGTGGAGTGGAATGCAGTGGAGACGAATGGAGTAGAATGGACCTGACTGGAGTGGAATGCAGTGGAGTGGAATGGAGTAGAATGGAACTGACTGGAGTGAAATGGAGTGGAATGGAATGGAGTGGAGTGGAGTGGAATGGAGTGCAGTGCAATGGAGTGGAGTGAAGGGGAGTGGAATGGAATGGAATAGAATGGAATCGAAAGAAATCAAATGGAATGGAATGGAATAGAATGGAATGGAATGCATTGAAATGTTGTGGAGTGGAGTGGAATGGACTGGAATAGAATGGGGTGGAATGGAATTCAATAGAGTGGAGTGGAGTGGAATGGCATGGAGTGGAATGGAATGGGAAGGAATGGAATTGAACGGAGTGGAGTGGAGGGGATTGAAGTGGAATGGAATGCAATGGAATGGAATGGAGAAATTAAATGTGAGCTGAGATTATGCACTGCACTCCAGCCTGGGTGACCTAGTGAGAACCTCTCAAAATAAAGGAATGGAATGGAATGGATTTGAAATGGAATGTAATGGAATGGAGTGGAGTGGAGTGGAATGGAGTGGAGTGGAATGGAGT
>NT_187385.1:95522-100113 GCF_000001405.40 Homo sapiens
GAAAGGAAAGGAATGGAATGGATTTACAATGGAATGTAATGGAATGGAGTTTAGTGGAGTGGAGTGGCGTGGAGTGGAGTGGAGTGGAACGGAATGGTATGGATTGTTATGGAATGGAATTCAATGGAGTGGAGTGGAGTGCTGTGGGGTGGAGTGGAGTGGAGTGGAAAGGAGTGGAATGGAATGTGATGGAATGGAATGGAGTGGAGTTGAGTGGAGTGGAGTGGAAAGGTGTAGAATGGAATGGAATGGAGTGGAATGGAGTGGAGTGGAGTGGAGTGGAATGGAATGGAGTGGAATGGTGTGGAGTGGAATGGAGTGGAGTGGAGTTTACTGGAATGGAGTCGAATGGAGTGGAGTGGATTCCAGTGAAAAGGAGTGGAGTGGAGTGGAGTGGAATGGAATGGAGTGGACTGGAATGGAATGGAGTGGAGCGGAATGGAGTGGAGTAGAGTGGAATGGAATGGAATGCAATGGAGTGGAATGGAATGGATTCGAATGCAATGGAGTGGAATGGCATGGAATGGAGAAAAGAAATGTGAGCTGAGATTGTGCACTGCCCTCCAGCCTGAGTGAGAGAATGAGATCCTGTCGAAAGAAAAGAATGGAATGGAATGGATTTAGAATCGAATGGAATGAAATGAAATGGAATGGAATGCAGTGGAATGGAATGGGGTGGAATGGAGAGGAGTGGAATGGAGTGGAGTGGAGTGGAATGGAATGGAATGGAATCAAATGGAATAGAATCAAATCGAATGGAATAGAATGAAATGGAATCGAATGGAATTGAATGGAATCGAATGGAAAAAATGGAATCAAATGGAATCAAATCAAATGGAATTGAATGGCATCGAATGGAATCGAACGGAATATGGAGAACTGGAATGGAGTGGAGTGGAATGAAGTGGAATGGAATGGGAAGGAATGGAATTGAACGGAGTGCAGTGGAGTGGAGTGGGATGGAATGCAATGTAATGGAGTGGGATGGAATGCAATTTAATGGAATGGAATGGAATGGTGAAATGAAATGTGAGCTGAGATTCTGCAGTGCAATGCAGCCTGGGTGACCTAGTGCAATCCTGTCAAAAGAAAGGAATGGAAGTGAATGGATTTAAAATAGAATGTAATGGAATGGAGTGGAGTGGAGTGGATTAGCATGGCGTGGAGTGTAGTGGAGGGTAGTGGAATGGAATGGGAAGGAATGGAATTGAACGGAGTGGAGTGGAATGAAATGCAGTGGAATGGAATTGAATGGAATGGTGAAATGAAATGTGAGCTGAGATTGCGCACTGCACTCCAGCCTGGGAGAAAGAGTGAGATCCTGTCAAAAGGAAGGAAGGTAATGGAATGGATTTAGAATGCAATATAATGGAATGGATTTAGAATGGAATGTAATGGAATGGAGTAGACTGGAGTGGAGTGGATTGGAGTGGAATGGAATGGAGTGGAATGGAGTGGAGTGGAATGGAATGGAATGGAATGGAATTGAAAGGAATGGAGTGAAAAGAAGTGAAATGGAGTGGGGTGGAATGGCATGGAATGGAGTCAAGCGGAGTGGAGTGGAATGGAGTGGAGTGCAGTGGAATGGAATTGAGTGGAATGGAATGGAATGGAATGGAATGGAGTGGAATGGAATATAATGCAAGGAAATGGAATGGAGTGGAGTGGAGTGGAATGGAGTGGAATGGAGTGGAGTGGAGTGGAGTGGAATGGAGTGGAATGGAATGGAATGGATTGGAATTGAATGGAATGGAATAGAATGGAAAGGAATGGAATCGAATGGAATGGAATTGAATGGCATTGAATGGAATTGAAGGGAATGTAGTGAAGTGGAGTGGAGTGGAATGGAGTGGAATGGAATGGGGTGGAATGAAATTTAATGGAGGGGAGTGAAGTGGAGTGGAATGGAGTGGAGTGGAATGGACTGGGAAGGAATGGAATTGAACGGAGTGGAGTGGAGTGGTGTGGTGTGGAATGGAATGCAATGGAATGGAATGGACTGGAATGGTGAAATGATATGTGAGCTGAGATTGTTCACTGCACTCCAACCTGGGTAAGAGAGTGAGATCCTGTCGTAAGAAAGGAAGGGAATTGAATGGATTTACAATGGAATGTAATGGAATGGAGTGGAGTGGCGTGGAGTGGAGCGGAGTGGAGTTGAATGGAATGCTATGGATTGTTATGGAATGGAATGCAATGGAGTAGAGTGGAGTGCTGTGGGGTGGAGTGGAGTGGAGTGGAATGGAGTGGAATGGAATGGGATGGAATGGAATGGAGTTGAGTTGAGTGAAGTGAGTGGAAAGGTGTAGAATGGAATGGAATGGAATGGAATGCAATGGAATGGAATGGAATGGAATGGAGTGGATTGGAATTGAGTGAAGTGGAATGGAATGGAGTGGAATGGAGTGGAGTGGAGTGGAATGGAGTGGAGTGGAGTTTCGTGGAATGGAGTGCAATGGAGTGGAGTGGATTGGAATGAAAGGGAGTGGAATGGAGTGGAAGAGAGTGGACTGGAATGGAATGGAATGGAGTGGAGTGGAATGGAGTGGAGTGGAGTGGAATGAAATGGAATGCAATGGAGTGGAATGGAATGAAATGGAATGGAATGAAATGGAATGGAATGACATGGAATGGTGAATTGAAATGTGAGCTGAGATTGTGTACTGCATTCCAGCCTGGGTGAGAGAGTGAGATCCTGTCAGAAGAAAGGAATGAAATGGAATGGATTTAGAATGGAATGGAATGAAATGGAATGGAATGGTATGAGGTGGAATGGAGTGGAGCGCAATGGCGTGGAGTGGAATGGATTGGAGTGGAATGGAATCGAATGGAATCGAATGCAATCGAATGTAATCGAATCGACTCGAATTGAATCAAATCGAATCGAATGGAATCGAATCGAATGGAATCAAATGGAATCAAACAGAATCGAATGGAAAAAATGGAATCAAATGGAATTGAATGGAATCTAATCGAATGGAATCGAATTGCATTGAATTGAATTGAATGGAATATGCTGAAGTGGAATGGAGTGGAATGGAATTCAATGGATTGGAGTGGAGTGGAATGGAATGGAATGCAATGGAATGCAATGGAATGGAATGGTGAAATGAAATGTGAGCTGAGATTGTGCAGTGCAGTGCAGCCTGGGTGACCTAGTGAGATCCTGTAAAAAGAAAGGAATGGAATTGAATGGATTTAAAACGGAATGTAATGGAATGGAGTGGAGTGGAGTGGATTACCATGGAGTGGAGTGGAGTCGAGTGGAATGGAATGGGAAGGAATGGAATTGAACAGAATGGAGTGGAGTGGAATGAAATGCAATTGAATGGAATCGAATGGAATGGTGAAATGAAATGTGAGCTGAGATTGCACACTGCACTCAAGCCTGGGTGATAAAGTGAGATCCTGTCGAAAGAAAGGAACGGAATGGAATGGATTTATAATGGAATATAATGGAATGGATTTAGAATGAAATGTAATGGAATGGAGTAGACTGGAGTGGAGTGGAGTGGAGTGGAGTGGAATGGAGTGGAGTGGAATAGAGTGCAGTGGAATAGAATGGAATGGAGTGAAAAGAAGGGAAATGGAGTGGGGTGGAATGGCATGGAATGGAGTTGAGTGGAGTGGAGTGGAATGGAGTGGAGTGGAATGGAATTGAGAGGAATGGAATGGAATAGAGTGGAATGGAATATAATGGAAGGGAATGGAAAGGAGTGGAGTGGAGGGGAATGGAGTGGAATAGAGTGGAATGGACTGGAGTGGAATGGAGTGGAGTGGAATGGAGTGGAATGGAATGGAATGGAATGGATTGGAATTGAATGGAACGGAATAGAATGGAATGGAATGGAATCAAATGGAATGGAATTGAATGGCATTGAAAGGAATTGAATGGAATGTGGTGAAATAGAGTGGTGAGGAGTGGAGTGGAATGGAGTGGAATGGAATGGGTTGGAATGAAATTTAATGGAGTGGAGTGAAGTGGAGTGGAATGGAGTGGAGTGGAATGGACTGGGAAGGAATGGAATTGAACGTAGTGGAGTGGAGTGGTGTGGAATGGAATGCAATTGGATGTAAAGGACTGTTATGGTGAAATGATATGTGAGCTGAGATTGTGCACTGCACTCCAACCTGGGTGACAGAGTGAGATCCTGTCGTAAGAAAGGAATGGAATGGAATGGAATTACAATGTAATGTAATGTAATGCAGTGGAGAGGAGTGGAGTGGAATGGTGTGGAGTGGAGTGGAGTGCAGTGGAATGCAGTGGAAAGGAATGGGGTGTAGTGGACTTGAATGGAGTGGAGGGGAGTGTCGTGGAATGGAGTGGAATGGAATGGAATGGGAAGGAATGAAATTGAACAGAGTGGAGTGGAGTGAAGTGGAATGGAATGCAATGGAATGGAATGGAATGGTGAAATGAAATGTGAGCTGAGAATGTGCACTGCACTCCATACTGGGTGACAGAATGAGATCCTGAAGAAAGAAACGACGGGAATGGAATGGATTTAGAGTGGAATGTAAGGGAATTTAGTGGAGTGGAGTGGAGTCACATGGAGTGGAGTGAAGTGGAATGGAGTGGTGTGGATTGTTA
>NT_187385.1:101923-107739 GCF_000001405.40 Homo sapiens
TGGAATGGAATGGAATGGAATGGAGTGGAATGGAATGGAATGGAATGGAGTGGAATGGAATGGAATGGAATTGAATGGAATGGAATGCAATGGAATGGAATGGAACTGAATGGAATAGAACGGAATCGAATCGAATCGAACTGACTCAAATCAAATCGAATTGAATCAAATGGAACAAAATAGAATTGAATGGAATTGAATAGAACAAATGGAATCGAAATGAATCGAATGGAATTGAATCGAATGGAATCGAATGGCATGGAATTGAATCAAATGGAATGTGGTGAAAAGGAGTGGAGTGGAGTGGAAAGGATTGGAATGAAAGGGGGTGGAATGGAATTGAACGGAGTGGAGTGCAGTGGAGTGGATTTGAGTGGAGTGGAATGGAATGGGAAGGAATGGAATTGAATGGAGTGGAGTGGAATGGAATGAGTGGAGTGGAATGGAATGGAATGGAATGGAAAGGAATCAAATGGAATGGAATTGAATGGAATCAAATGGAATCGAATGGAATCAAATGGAAGCAAATGGTTTTGAATCGAATCGAATCAAATGGAATCGAGTGGAATCAAATGGGATAGAATGAAATCAAATGGAAAAAATGGAATTGAATGGAATCAAAAGGAATCGATTCGAATGGAATCGAGTGGCATCGAACAGAACCGAATGGAATGCGATGAAATGTACTGGAGTGGAGTGGAATGGAGTGGAAAGGAATGGGGTGGAATGGAATTGAATGGAGTTGAGAGGAGTAGAATATATTGGAATGAAATGGAATGGGAAGGAATGGATTTGAACGGAGTGGAGTGGAGTGGAGAATGGAATGGAATGGAATGGAATGGAATGGAATGGAATTTAATGGAATGGAATGGAATGGTGAAATGAAAGGTGAGCTGAGATTGTGCACTGCACTCCAGCCAGGGTGACAGAGTGAGATCATTTCGAAAGAAAGGAATGGAATGGAATGGATTTAGAATGGAATGTAATGGAATGTAGTGGAGGGAATTGGAGTGGCTGGAGGTGGAGTGGAGTGGAGTGAAATGGAGTGGAATGTATTGTTATGGAATGGAATGGAATGGAGTGGAGTGGAGTGGGATGAAGTGAAGTGGAATGGAGTGGAATGTATTGTTATGGAATGGAATGGTGTGGAGTGGAGTGAAGTGGAGTGGGATGAAGTGGAGTGGAATGGAGTGCAATGGAATGGGATGGAACAGAAAGGAGTAGAGTGTAGTGGTGTGGAGTGCAAAGGTGTAGAATGGAATGGATTGGAAAGGAGTGGAGTGGAGTTGAGTGGAGTGGAATGGAATGGAATGGTGTGGAGAGGAGTAGAATGGAGTGGAGTGGAGTGCAGTGGAGTGAAGTGACTTGGAATGGAATGGAGTGCAGTGGAATGGAATGGAGTGGAGTGGAATGCACTGGAGGGGATGGAATTAACTGGAGTAGAATGGAATGGACTGTAATGGAATGAAAACGAATGGAGTGGAGTGGAATGGAGTGGAGTGGAGTCTTATGGTGTGGAATGGAATGCAATGTTGTGGAGTGGAGGAGAGTGGAGTGGAGTGGACTGGAGTGTAGGGGAAGAGAGTGGAATGGAATGGAGAGGAGTGGAGTGGAATGGAGGGGGTGGAATGGAGTGGAGTGGAGTGGTTTGGATTGCAATGGAATGGAATGGAATGGAATGAAGTGGAGTGGAATGGAGAGGAATGGAATGGAATGGAATGCAATGCAATGCAATGGAATGGAAGGGAATGGAGTGGAATGGAATGGAATGGATTGGAATCGAACGGAATGTAATGGAATCGAATGGAATGGAATCGAATGAAATCAAAAGAATGGAATAGAATTGAATGGAACGGAATCGAATAGCATCGAATGGAATCGAATGGAATGCGGTGAAGTGGAGTGGAGTGGAATGGAGTGGAATGGAATGGGGTGGAATGGAATTGAATGGAGCAGAGTGGATTGGGGTGGAATGGAGTGGAGTGGAATGAAATGGGAAGGAATGGAATTGAACGGAGTGGAGTGGAGTGGAATGGAATGCAATGGAATGGAATGGAATGGAATGTTGAATTGTGAGCTGAGATGGTGTACTGCACTACAGCCTGAGTGACAGAGTGAGATCCTTTTGAAAGAAAGGAAGGGAATGGAATGGATTTAGAATGGAATGTAATGGAATGGATTTAGAATGGAATAGAATGGAATGGAGTGGAGTGGATTGGAGTTGAGTGGAGTGGAATGGAGTGGAATGGAATGGAGTGGAGTGGAATGGAATGGACTGGAATGGAGTGCAATGGAGTGGAGTGGAATGGAATGGAATGGAGTGGATTGGAGTGGAGTGGATTGGAATGGAGTGGAATGGATTGTAATGGAATGGAATGGAATGGAGTGGAATAGAGTGGAGTGGAGTGGAATGGAGTGGAGTGGAATGGAGTGGAATGGAGTGAAGTAGAGTGGAGTGGAGTGGAGTGGAATGAAGTGATGTGGAATGAAGTGGAAGGGAATGGAACGGAATGGAATGGAATGGATTGGAATCAAATGGAACGGAATGGAACCGAATGGAATGGAATCGAATGAAATCAAACGGAATGGAATGGAATCGAATGGCATCGAATGGAATTGAATGGAATGAGGTGAAGTGGAGTGGAGTGGAATGGAGAGGAATGGAATGGGGTGGAATGGAATTGAATGGAGCAGAGTGGAGTGGGGTGGAATGGAGTGGAGTGAAATAAAGTGGGAAGGAGTGGAATTGAACAGAGTGGAGTGGAGTGGAGTGGAATGGAATACAATGGAATGTAATGCAATGGAATGGAATGGAATGGTGAAATCAAATGTGAGGTGAGATTTTGCTCTGCACTCCAGCCTGAGTGACAGAGTGAGATCCTTTCGAAAGAAAGGAAAGGAATGGCATGGATTTAGAATGGAATGGAATGGAATGGAATGGTGTGGATTGGAGTGGAGTGGAGTTCAGCGGAGTTGAATGGAGTGGAATGGAATGGAGTGGAGTGGAATGGAATGGGCTGCAACGGAGTGGAATGGAATGGAATGGAGTGGAGTGGAGTGGAATGGAATGGAGTGGAGTGGAATGAAATGAAGTGGAATATAATGGAATGGAGTGGAATGGAATTGAATGGAATCGAGTGAGATGGAGTGGAGTGGAGTGGAGTGGAATGGAGTGGAGTGGAATGGACTGGAATGGAGTGGAGTCGAGTGGAATGGAGTGGAGTGGAATGGAGTGGAATGTAATGGAAGGGAATGGAATGGAATCGAATCGAATGGAACAGAATTCAATGGAATGGAATGGAATGGAATGGAATGGAATGGAATGGAATGGAATCGAATGGAATGGAATCAAATGGCATCAAATGGATTCGAATGAAATGTGGTGAAGTGGAGTGGAGTGGAGTGGAATGGAGTCAAAAGGAATGGAGTGGAATGGAATTGAATGAAGTAGAGTGCAGTTGAGTGGAATGGAGTAGAGTGGAATGCACTGGGAAGGAATGGAATTGAACGGAGTGGAGTGGAGTGGAGTGGAATGGAATGCAATGGAATGGAATGGAATTTAATGGAATGGAATAGAATGGTGAAATGAAATGTGAGCTCACATTGTGCACTGAACTCCAACCTGGGTGACACAGTGAGATGCTGTTGAAAGAAAGGAATAGAATAGAATGGATTTAGAATGGAATGTAATGGAATGGAGTGGAGTGGGGTGGAGTGGATTGGTGTGGAGTGGAATGGAGTGGTTTTGATAGTTATGCAATGGAATGGAATGGAGTGCAGTGGAGTGGCGTGGAGTGGAGTGGAATCGAGTGGAATGGAATGGGATGGAATGGAACAGAGTAGAGTGGAGTGGAGTGGAGTGGAAAGGTGTAGAAAGAAATGGAATGGAATAGAGAGGAGTGGAGTGGAGGGTAGTTGAGTGGAGTGGATTGGAGTGCAGTGAAATGGAGTGAAATGGAGTGGTGTGGAATGCAGTGGACTGGAGTGGAGTGGAGTGGAGTCAAGTGGAAAGGTGTAGAATGGAATGGAATGGAAAGGAGAGGAGGGGAGTGGAGTGGATTTGAGTGGAATGGATGGTAGTGCAGTGGAATGGAGTGGAGTGGAATGGAGTAGAGTGTAGTGGAGTAGAGTTGAGTTGAGTGGAATGGAATAGAACGAAATGGAATGGAGTGGAATGGAATGGAATGGAATGCCATGGAATGGAATCGAAAGGAATGGAATTGAACGGAATTGAATGGATTCAAATGCAATGGAAGGAAAATGAATGGAATGGAATCGAATGGAATGCGGTGAAATGGAATGGAGTGGAGTTGAATGGAGTGGAATGAAAAGGGATGGAATGGAAATGAATGGAGTGGAGTGGAACGGAGTAGAATGGAGTGGAGTGGAATGGAATGGGAAGGAATGGAATTGAACGGAGGGGAGTGGAGTGGGGTGGAATGAAATGCAATGGAACAGAATTGAATAGAATGGTGAAATGAAATGTGAGCTGAGATTGCACACTGCACTCCAGCCTGGGTGAGACAGTGAGATCCTGTTGAAAGAAAGGAAGGGAATGGAATGGATTCAGAATGGAATATAATGGAATGGATTTAGAATGGAATGTAACGGAATGGAGTGCAGTGGAGTGCAGTGGAATGGACTGGAGTGGAGTGGAACGGAATGGTATGGATTGTTATGGAATGGAATGCAATGGAGTGGAACGGAGTGCTGTGGGGTAGAGTGGAGTGGAATGGAATGGAGTGGAATGGAATGGAATGGGATGGAAAGGAATGGAGAGGAGTGGAGTGGAGTGGAAATGTGTAGAATGGAATGGAATGGAGTGGAGTGGAATGGAGTGGAGTGGAGTGGAGTAGAGTGGAGTTTAGTGAAATGGAGTGGAATGGAGTGGAGTGGATTGGAATGAAAGGGAATGGAGTGGAGTGGAGTGGAGTGGTGTGGAATGGAGTGGACTGGAATGGAATTGAGTGGAGTGGAATGGAGTGGAGTGGAGTGGAATGGAATGAAATGCAATGGATTGGAATGGAAAGGAATTGAATGCAATGGAATGGAATGGCATGGAATGGTGAAATGAAATGTGAGCTGAGATTGTGCACTGCACTCCAGCCTGGGTGAGAGAGTGAGATCCTGTCGAAAGAAAGGAATGCTATGGAATGGATTTAGAAAGAATGGAATGGAATGGAATGGAATGGAATGGAATGGAATGGAATGGAATTGAGTGGAATGGAGTGGAGTGGAATGGAATGGTGTGGAGTGGAATGGAATGGAATGGAATCGAATGGAATCGAATCAAATCGAATCGAATCAAATTGAATGGAATCGAGTCAAATGGAATCTAATGTAATTGAATGGAATCGAATGGAAAAATGGATTCGAATGGAATCGAATCAAATGGAATCGAATGGCATCAAATGGAATCAAATGGCATCAAATGGAATCGAATGGAATGCTGTGAAGTGGAATGGAGTGGAGTGGAATGGAGTGGAATGGAATGGGGTAGAATGGAATTCAATGGAGTGGAGTGGAGTGGAATGGAATCGAATGGAATGAAATGGGAAGGAATGGAATTGACCGGAGTGGAGTGGAGTGGAGTGGAATGGAATGCAATGGAATGGAATGGAATGGAATGGTGAAATGAAATGTGAGCTGAGATTGTGCACTGCACTCCAGCCTGGGTGACAGAGCGAGATTCCATCGAAAGAAAGGAATGGAATGGAATGGATTTACAATGGAATGTATTGTAATGGAGTGGAGTGGAGTGGCGTGGAGTGGAGTGGAGTGGAATTGAGTGGTATAGATTGTTATGGAATGGAATG
>NT_187385.1:107960-109363 GCF_000001405.40 Homo sapiens
GTGGAGTGGAGTGGAATGGAGAGGAGTGGAGTGGAGTGGAATGGAGCAGAGTGGAGAGGAGTGGAGTGAAGTGAAGTGGAGTGGAATGGAATGGAGTGGAGTGGAAAGCAATAGAGTGGAGTGGAATGGACTGGAGTGGAATGGAATGGACTTGAGTGGAATGATATGGGGTGGAGTGGAATGGAATGGAGTGCAGTAGAGTGGAGTGGAGTAGAATAGAGTGGAGTGGAATGGAGTGGAATGGACTGGAGTGGAGTGGAATGGAGTGGAATGGAATGGAATGGAATGGATTGGAGTGGAGTCTTATGGAGTGCAGTGCAATGGAGTGGAATGGAGTGGAATGGAATGGAACAGAATGAAATGGAGTGGAATCGAAAGGAATCAAATGGAATGGAATGGAATGGAATGGAATGCGATGAAGTGGTGTGGAGAAGGGTGGAATGGAGTGGAATGGAATGGGGTGGAATAGAATTCAATGGAGTGGAGTGCAGTGGAGTGGCATGGAGTAGAGTGGAACGGAATGGGAAGGAATTGAACAGAGTGGATTTTAGTGGAGTGAAGTGGAATGCAAAGGAATGGAATGGTGAAATGAAATGTGAGCAGAGATTGTGCGCTGCACTCCAGCCTGGGTGACCTAGTGAGATCCTGTCAAAAGAAATGAATGGAATGGAACAGATTTAAAATGGAATGTAATGGAATGGACTAGAGTGGAGTGGAGTAGCGTGGAGTGGAGTGAAATGGAGTGGTATGGATTCTTATGGAATGGAATGGAATGGAGTGGGGTGGAGTGGAGTGGAAAGGTGTGGAATGGAATGGAATGGAGTATAGTGTAGTGGAGTGGAGTGGAGGGGAGTTGAGTGCAGTGGAATGGAATGGAGTGGAATGGAGTGGAGTGGAATGGAGCAGTGTGGAGTGGAGTGGAGTGAAGTGAAGTGGAGTGGAATGGAATGGAATGGAGTAGAGTGGAATGGACTGCAGTGGAGTGGAATGGACTGGAGTGGAATGGAATGGACTGGGGTGGAATGGTATGGAGTGGAGTGGAATGGAATGGAGTGCAGTGGAGTGGAGTGGAATGCAGTGGAGTGGAATTGAGTAGAATGGACGTGACTGAAGTGGAATGGAGTGGAATGGAATGGAATGGAGTGGAGTGGAGAGGAATGGAGTGCAGTGCAATGGAGTGGAGTGAAGTGGAGTGGAATGGAATGGAATGGAATCAAAAGAAATCAAACGGAATGGAATGGAATGCGGTGAAATGTTGTGGAGTGGAGTGGAATGGACTGGAATGGAATGGGGTGGAATGGAATTCAATGGAGTGGATTGGAGTGGAATGGCATGGAGTGGAATGGAATGGGAAGGAATGGAATTAAACGGAGTGGAGTGGAGTGGAGTGAAGTGGAATGAAA
>NT_187385.1:109388-112551 GCF_000001405.40 Homo sapiens
TAGTTTAATCAAATGGAATTGAATGGAATGGAATCGAATGGCATCGAATGGAATCGATTGGAATGCAGTGAAGTGGAGTGGAATGGAGTGGAATGAAGTGGAATGGAATGGGGTAGAATGGAATTGAATGGAGTGGACTGGATTGAAGTGGAAGGTAGTGGAGTGGAATGTAATGGGGAGGAATGGAATTGTACGGAGTGGAGTGGAGTGGAATGGAATGCAATGCAATAGCATGGAATGGAATGGTGAAAAGAAATGTGAGCTGAGATTGTGCACTGCACTCCAGCCTGGGTGACAGAGTGAAATCCTGTCGAAAGAAAGGAAGAGAATGGAAAGGATTTATAATGGAATGGAATGGAATGGATTTATAATGGAATGTAATGCAATGTAGTGGAGTGGAGTGGAGTGGATTGGAGTGGAGTGGAATGGAGTGGAATGGAATTGAGTGGAGTGGAATGGAGTGGAGTGGAATGGAGTGGAATGGAATTGAGAGGAGTGGAATGGAATGGAATGGAATGGAGTGCAATTGAATGGAATGGAATGGAATGGAATGGAATGGAATGGAATGGAATGGAGTGCAATGGAATGGAATGGAATGGAGTGGAATGGAGTGGAATGGAGTGGAGTGGTATGGAGTGGAGTGCAGTGGAATGAAGTGGATTGGAGTGGAATGGAATGGAGTGGAATGGAGTGGAGTGGAGTGGAATGGAATGGAGTGGAATGGAATGGAATGCGGTGAAGTGGAGTGCAGTGGAGTGGAATGAAGTGGAATGGAATGGGGTGGAATGGAATTGAATAGCGTGGAGTGGAGTGGGTGGAATGGACTGTAGTGGAATGGAATTTCGCCGTAGATAAAAACTAGTATTTCCGCCTACCATTGAGTTTACTTATAGCTAACCAAAACGGCACTCTGTCTCGGGAATACAGATTTGCCTAGAGGTATCCTATTGCAGTCAAAGAAAGAGCAATGAGGGGTAGAAAAGTTTAGTGATGGAGACACCAAAGCTGCATTTTACAAAACACAGTGTAAAAACTTTACGGATTCGTTCTGCTAACTTACTACAGTTTACATTCCTCTCAGGTGGCAGAATTGTTGAGTTTTTTCTTAAGATAGAAAAGCAATTCAGATAATCTGAAATCTCCACAAGAAGGTTAAGAAGCAGAACAGAAATTATTCTAGGCAGGAAGTCAATCCTTTAAACTGTCTGTGCTCCATAGAAACAATTGTCTGCACTGGGAGTCATATGCGGTACAGACAACAGCCAGACCTCTGATCCTCTCATTTGTGATTTCAGAAGAAATTACCAGTCAACTGAGTAATTCACTGACTAAAGTATACATTTGGCACTGAAAGAGGTTAGACGGATAACTATTTGTATCACTATATTCATGAAGCTGGAATATTTTCCATTACTCGTATCACATCCGAATGGAAGATTTTAAAAGCTCTCTCATCTTGTAAGATGGATATGAAAGAACATTGTCTGAGAAATGAAATTATTAACACACCTGCGAGGTGGATGGAAGAGAAAAAAAGAATAATCAGCTTGAGTTCTTCTCCTTGATAAGACAACTCACTAAAAACATAGAGAGAAAAATACAAGTTTAAAATAATTAACCAGAAGAAGACAACTCCAGAGTTTTTAAATGGCTGATAAGATTTTAATTTGCTGCAAGTTGAAAATAACTATATTGCTTGTGTTTTAAGGCACATAATGAGCAATTATATCACACATGATAGGTTCAGCAGTAAAATATTATCCGTTAACAGCTGGTACTCATAAAAGCATAGCACAATGTGAAGATGGAATTTTCTAAAATAAACCATCTTCTGAAAACTACTATTCTGTAAATTTAAAAACAAAGTTTATATGTTATTTGTCTTATTTAATAGGTCTGTGAAAAAATGAGATATTTGAAAAGTAGGTGCTACCTTAATTAGTTCTTTATATTAGACAGCTGGTTACAGTAATGCACAGTAAGGTACTACATACAAATGTGGCTAAATTTTCTGCATATACTATGTATTTAGCTTAAATTATTTGAAATTTTATAGTTAAAGTAACAAATGTATATTTAAATGTTTTGACACAAATTGCAAATATACCTTTAAAAAGCATCTTACACTCTAAATATTATTTGTCACCTATATATTTGTCTTTTCTCTGTAGGAAATTTTAAATATTTCCCTTGAAGCTTTAATTATTTCAGTCTATAAAACAAACTGATAATGTTCAAATTAACAGGAAAAAAAGGTTTACAGATATGTGCACAAGTATGCACTTGGAGTTTACATAATATATATAAATATATATACAAATATTTTTATATTATACATAGATATACAAATATATACTATATATATAAAAACTCCAGGAAAGGCAAGGTAGTCAACACGCCTATGTTGTCTTGAGGTTACAGAAAACACAGACCTGTACGTTGGTCAATCAGTCTTTGCGGAAGACAAGAGACGACAAAGAAGACGGAGTAGCCTGGCAGCAGAGGTGGTCTTGTTACACGGATGAAACCTCACAGGGAGCAGACCTCCTCTTGGGAAGTATAGTTAGGAAATGATTTTTAAAAATGTAAACGTGCCAGACTCAGTTAATCTTTCCTAAACACAGACAAGGGAGTATCTCAGGGAAAGCCTGTCTATATCAATGCAGATTTTCTCTACAAATGCAAATCTCCCCAACAAACACAACTTTTCAGCTATTCTTGTAGAAGAAGCTATTTCCAGTCTTCCGAGTAGCCATCTTGAAATAAGTCAAAAAGTTGGCCAGGCTCACGCCTGTAATCTCAGCATTTTGCGAGGCTGAAGTGGGTAGATCACCTGAAGTCAGGAGTTCGAGACCAGCCTGAACAACATGGTGAAACCCCGTCTCTACTAAATACAAAAAATTAGCCGAGTGTGGTGGTGCATGCCTGTAATCTCAGCTACTTGGGAGGCTGAGCTAGGAGAATTACTTGACCCTGGGAGGCTGAGGTTGCAGTGAGCCAAGATTGTGCCATTGCACTCCACCCTGGGCAATAAAAGCAAAACTCCATCTCAAAAAAAAAGTATTTTAGGGTAATATTTTGAGTATCTTTACCTCCATATGTACAATAAATATTATTGTGATTTTTAATCTTTACTCTTCTGTGGAGAAAACACAGGTGTGAT